>NC_000006.12:124161699-124464729 GCF_000001405.40 Homo sapiens | reverse complement strand
GATATAGAGACCAATGGAACAGAACAGAGGCCTCAGAAATAACGCCACACATCTACAATCATGAGATCTTTAACAAACCTGTCAAAGGAATTTCTTAATGGTAAGTGCTTTGTTACAACACACAAACTCTTCTCATTAGGTAATTAATGATAATCTAATTAAGATGGCATGTATACTATAACATTAAGCAAATTTGGAAATAAATATGCCTTAGAGGAAAAAAAGATGTAATAAATCAAAGTCCATCAGTTGTACTCTCATCTTCACTAAGTAACAATTTAGGCTGGCAGAAAAAAAAAAAGCTTATAATTCATGGCTATTTTTACCATGAAAGTAAAAAAAATGGCAATAATGACTTCTTGACACAATCATAGACATGTAATAAAGAATGGGAGATTATATCTTACTTCGTTAAGGACTCTGAAACCATCACATTAAAAATGCCATTCAGGCCAGGCTCACACATGTAATCCCAGCACTTCGGGAGACTGAAGCAGGCAGATTACTTGAGGTCACAAGTTCAAGACCACTCTGGCCAATGTGACAAAACTCCATCTCTACTAAAAATGCAAAAATTATTCGGGCATGGTGGCACAGGCCTGTAATTCCAGCTACTCAGGAGGCTGGGGCATGAGAATAGAATCATTTGAACCCGGGAGATGGAGGTTGCAGTGAGTCGAGATCATGCCACTGCACTCCAGCCTAGGTGACAAAGTAAGACTTTGTCACAAAGCATAACAAAACAAAACAAAACAAAGTGCCATTCAAATGATTTCCTGCACCAACCTTACTATCTTTAGAGGTTACAAATAGCTAAATAGACGTTTTAGACATTTCTAAAGATCATATTTTGGATTGAAACCAATCAAAATCCAAGCACAATAAAAAATGACTACAATGTTTAAACAACTTGGAAAAGCAATAACATCTTAAATCGCAATAAAAACACAAAGCAATCTTTAAATAATACATTTAGTAATAGCCCTGTACAGGCATGTGTATATCTTTATAGTTAAATGCTATGGGAGTTCAGAGAAAAGTGTTAATTTGAGGCAGAATAAGTTAAGAAAGGTACGATGAGATAGCACAAACTTACCTCTTTAAATAATTGGAAGGGAGGAGGGAAGAAGGCATTGGCAAAGGTAAAGAGATAGGGCGATGCACAGGCACATGGAGTAGAAGGTGGTAGAACACTTGAGGGACAGGATGAAAACAACAGTGGCTGGAACAGGTGTTATGTTGTAGGGAATAAATAGGAGATAATGTGGGAGTGATACAATAGAGGCAGATGGTAGAAGACTTTTATTGGCAGGTTAAGAGGTTTAGAATTTATCTTGGAAGCATTAAGGGATCCAAAGGCAACCAGGACTTCACTTGCTACAGTAAAACGTGCATATGTATATGCACATAATTGGTTGAAATAGAGTGCAAACATTTTAAAGTAGTAGTGGCAATAATTAAATGTTCTCTTTTATTATATTTCATTGGGCTATTTTATGTTACTCAATTATGAATTATTCTTTAAACTTAGGTTGTTGGGTAAATAAATGGAACACACACACATACACACACACACTTAGTTTTTTAATTCACGTAAATCTCAGCTTTATCTAAAAATTTCTTCCTTTTGAATGGTAACTGATTCAGATTTAATGCAGTAGAGATACTTGTTTCAATTTTCTTGTCTGGGGAATCATCACTCTGTTGGCTGATTTTCTTTGCTGACAGGCTTCAATCACTTTATTTTCTCACATTTCAGGCTCAGAGGTTCAGTGTGAAGCTGTTTTGCAGAGTTGTGGAATAAATGCTTAAGATTTTCTTCCTAAGATTCACTTTACTGCTATTAGGCAGATTTCAATCATATGTCAGAGTATTTTGTGTTCCCTGCAAGTCATAATACAGAATTCACATTCTATATTTTCTCTGATGTGGTACTCAATAGAGATATACATCGAAGTACATATAAAAACGTTGTAGGAATTGTTTTGTGAATGGAGTTCTTTTCTCTAGAGTCCTGAATAAGCATATAGTATTACAAAGTAAAAAAATACTTTAAAAATTTGGTATAAAAATAAATTATAATATTGAACTGTCAGAATGCTTGTTTTTGAAATTACTCATTCTAGATTACTGGGGACAGGCAGCCTGAGATATATAAAAATGGCATTACCTATTGTATATCTGTAACTATTTGTAGACTTAGTAACTCTGAAAGCTATGTTCACAAAGCTTTGAACAAGAATTAAAATTGTGATCTTTGTATGAAGAATGTGAGGTTTGTATTTGAAAAAAGGATGAGAGGTTTATATTCTCAAATATGCATAGGCTGTTACAATATTTTTGTACTAATATTTAAATTAGTAAGTCTGGTTTAAAAACTCAAACAAATTAACAACAAAGTAAGACTGCTCTCTAAAGCTAAGCTCTAATGACTGAAAAGACTGAGAATTTTATTAGATTATGGTGCTTTTATTTTCTTCAAACAGTATATTATTTCTCATTGTGCATACTCTCTTTCCTTCTCTTCCCTTTAACAATTCTCTCCATTCCTTATTATGTTCCAAACTTTGTAGGTAATGCTTTTAGAAGCTGTATCCCCTCACGGAGCTAAGACTGTAGAAGATAGATTTATTCCAAAATGGATGTATTTTTAAGACACCTAAACATTAAAATGTGCTGAAATATTATGTGTTAGTCCTAGAATTTAATATTGTTACATGCAAATATTGAGATATCATCAACTTTTAATTACACAGAAGATACACATTCATTCCTTTTGGTTTTGACCACTATTCTTCTTTTCTTTTTTTTTTTATTAACCTCAATCAAACCAGCATCTAAACAAAATAAAGTGAAAAAAGAAAGATGGAAAAAGGAATTCACAAAAGTCTAAAGTCAAATGATTGAGGTTAACAAGGAGTTATCTATAAAACCTTAGAAGCCATGTGGCAGTTCTTCTCCCACTACTGGTAAAATATTTTAGAGAAAATAGGCTCTCCTTCAATGAGTGCACTAGCCAATTAACTATTGTTGATATTCTAAATAAAATTTAAAGGCATTCTCAATGGTTTTGATGATAATAGCATTGCTTTTTATTATTCTAGTACTATGATGACAGTTTTAATATGTATATATAATTTGTAACAGGTACAAAAAGCCAAAATTTAGGAAACTTTTAAAAAATATATTGAACGGAGAGGCAAAGATAGGGAGTAAAAAAGAGAAATTTTCTAAAAGTAATTAAGAAGGAGATAAAAAAGCAACACAGATTAAGAAAACAGTCTAATATTAACAACTGAAGTTGGTAGAAAAGTAAAACGTGTATAGGAGAAAAGTAAATAAATGGGCTGCATAATCTACATCTCTTCAATTAATTAAAGTGTGGAAAGAAATCAGTCTTTCTGTGCACACGCATGTATCTACACACACACACACGGTCACAATTAAGCTACACTAAAGAGAAAATAGTAATGTGCCCTGTAATTTTGTAGAGTCATTTTATACTTCCAGCACATTCGAAGCCAGGTTGACCTTTTTTGACCAAGGAATTAAAAGAGTTTTGCTATTCCTGAGAAGCTTTAGATGTTGTCTCAGCATAGTATAAAGACACATTTTGTGTCAAAACTTTGTATACAGAATTCAACTAAATCTAAAATAATGGCAGACTGAACTAACATAAGTGACCTCTCTTTTGCTACCAATACCTATATATGTTAAATAAAATATAACTTTAAAAAACTTAAAAAATACATTACTGAGAAAGAAAAGTTCCAGAAACTTCCAATTCAAGATAACCACCCAGAATGCAGAAAATTAAAAGGGGGGGAAATAAGTGTGGTTAAGTTAAACAGAACTACACAAATCAATGCAATATACATTTAATAAAATATTCCAAAGGGTAAGGATAGATAGAATTAAAGGGAAGCAGTAATCACACAGAAAATGATTAATAATTTTCCAGAGCTGAAGAAAGACATAAGTCTTCAAGTTCAAGTAGTAAGCCAAATTTAAAGCAGTTAACAAATCACTTTTAGAGAAACCATGGTGAAATTTTAGAACATAAAAGAAAAATCTTTAAAAGCCATAGAAAAGAAAAATGCATATGATCTGTAAAGGAATGGTGAACAGATTGACAGCAGGTTTATCATCAGCAATAATAAGAGGTAAATACATGAAATAATACCTTAATAATTCCAAAGGAAAAGAATTTTCAACCTAACAATCCTGAATTCCATACAACTAGCATTGAAAAGAATGAGGGTTAACTAAAGACATTTTCAAAGACAAAGATATGTTACTATTTACAGACCTGCACTTAAGAAACTTCTAAAGGATGTGGTTTAGTGAGAAGAAAGCCAAATAAAAATGAAGGGCTAAAACATATGCAGCAGTTGTGACCACCTCATTATTCAATTTATAGATTAATGTAAATAAATGAACATTGTTAAAGGAAAGGACAAATATAGGAAAATATTTTAAAGTAGAACTAGAAAACTAAATAGTAACATAAGGACGGTATCTGAAAGCTGAGAGGCAAAGACAGGGAGTGAAAAAGAGAAAGGCTAAAGGCTAACCTGAAGGCTAAAGAACTCTACATTTCCAATAATATTTTGTAGTAATGTAGTGATTTTGATCTACCATAGCTCTGTAAATTAAGTGAACACATTAAGGTTAAACCCTAGAAAGACTACAAATAGAATATATAGCTTTCAAACCACTGAAACAGTAAAGAGAATTAAGAAACATGAATCCAATATAAAGTAGGTCAGGACAAGAGAAAATAAGGAAAGAATGTATAAACACATATACATCTACGTAAAATAAATGGTCACTAATATCAGTAATGACAATAAATATAAACAGATGATACTTGCTTTTTGAAAGATTAAGATTTTTCAAAATACTAATAAAATAAAAAACATCTAAACAGGATTTATAGAAGACAAACCTTAGCAAGATGGCATGGGGAATTAATTTTACAGTAAAGAGATGACTATAGTTATATTATACCAACAGAAAGAAAACTGATGAAGCAATATTAACATTAGGGAAAATAAATGTTAAGGAATATGATATTCAACTCCAACATTCTTCTCTCATCAGAATTAAAACACGGATCATAAGACAAACTTACAGAGCAATACCTGTTATAAGTAAAATTATTCAGAATACAGATAACAATATCATCACTTAGGTGTCAAGATGGTTTTTCTATCCTCTTTCAGCTGTCATTTGTGATTACACTCAGCTTATATTCATGACAGAACAAGATTTTAACATGACACTTATCCATAATTTTTTTCCAGGTAGTATGACAAAGATATGCAATCTTATAATCTTTTGATATCATGTCACATTTTAATGTAAATGTACTAAGGTAATTCATGTTACAATGCATCAGCAAGTTGCTCTTTTTGAGGACATATGTAAGCCATAGAGCCAGGAACAGGCTTATTTTGCGGACTTTGTTCAGACCATTGAAATTGCCAACATAGGACTTTATAAGCCAGTCAATCTCCCAGGGTCTAAATTAATTTATTATTTTATTTGTCTTTGGGGACTCCTCCTCTCTTTGCCTCAGTGGGCCAGAAAGTGGTAACGTTTAGAACAAATTTTCTAAAATATTTTAGTAAGGGAATTTTAGCGTACCCACATTATACTTGCCTTTGGTGATCAAAAACTAGAAAGTCAATCGACATTCACTAGAGATCATTAAATTGCAGACAGAATTTGTCTGATGGCTTGACCCAGAAGTTGGAGTCAGTGGTCACAAGGACCTGTAGAAGAAACTCTCTCAGTTCCTACAATAGTGGGAAATACGGCAGGAAGCAGATTCTTTCTCCCATTTTCTGCATTTACTCATTCATGACTATAGTGAGAATTCAAAACACGCTCCTAGTAGGCAGGGGAAAGGTCAAGTTTACACATTTGTTTCTGGTCCTCAGCTTTCAGGGTTAGATGACCAAGTCTCAGGCAAATCTCCAGTTTTGCAGGAGATATTGCAGTGTCTAGATATAGTATTAGAAGATCGCCTCAAAATAATACAGTCCTATAATTCTGCTCATGTTACCTGACAACATAGAATTTTCAATTTTATTTTTTTCTATGTGTTTTTCATTTTTCTACTTGCAGAATAGGTTATTTTAAATGTAAGCATAATTTAAGACCGATTAATAATAGTAAGTATGGTATAGATATGAATCCAGAGGAAATGGTATTCCCTCAATGGGTCATTTTATTTCCAGTTAATGATATACAGATCCAACAGCAGAGAGAGAGCTGTAGCCTACAGCTACTACTTCCATCTAATACACTGCTTCAATTTCTTTTGAAAATGTACAAAACAATAGTATAGTTTTCAATCTGTTAATTACCCTGCTAGAGTTTCAACAATAACCACAAAAGGAATGCTAAACCTGCTGCACAAATTTATTTAGATTTGCTTTGGCTATTTTATACTTTACCTTAAAATAATTAAGTCACAAATTAGATCTATAGAACAGCTCCTTGATCATATGGCTTATTTGCTTTTTTAATAACTGTAATATTTCAATACTTTACTTTTTCAATAAGCATTCATAAAAATGTATATAATAAACTTGCATAAGCTATGCTAAATACAGAGCTATGAAAATATAATTATTTTAAGCAAATTTGACAGTGAAACAACTTATGTTTCAGTTTAGAGGCTATCAGGATTCAAAACATAAATACTTCTTACACTGTGAAGATAGTCATTATCTAAAAAATAACAAAGCAATCTCTTTAGCATCTTGCAATATTAAAATATCATGCACCTTTCATACACACAGGTTACTGAGTAGTTGATTCTATAAAGTAGATATGCCTCTAAAACTAAGAAATAAATGGTGCTCCCAACACACTACAGAGGTACTAAGAACTCCAAGGGAAGGCACCAGGTTTTAAGTATCTCTGAGTCCTCAGCATCTTGGCACCTGGCAATGGAAGTAATAACACTTTGAATGAATACGTGAGTATGTGGGGCCATCATGAGAAACAGTGTAATTGTTGGAAATGGGTGTTAATAATGTGTATCCTGTGGAGTGACTTCAGAAATCAAGTTCTGTTTATCAGCATGGCTTAGCCTCAGAACATATGCGGTTCCCAGAACATTAGAGAAGAAAAGGGACTTAGAGATGATCTAACTCTGCTGTTCACGAAAAATATAGTCCCTAAGATATTAATTTTTATGAGAAGTTCTGAGGGAACAAAAGGATATGTGGTTAGAGAAGTTTAGAAAATATTGTATCACACACGTAGATTCACAACACAGGTAATCTTTATGACTTCGGGAAGGCTTACAGTGAGAAGCAAAACAAAACTCTCTCACACACATACCACTACTTTAGCTTTCAGCATTTCTCCGATGTATTTCACTTCTATTTTCTTCAAGTAAACAAATGCCCTATAGAATCAGTGCTTGTGAAAGAAGAATTTGAGAAATGACAAGGGGATTGATTCTCAGCTTCTCAGGAAGGAAACTGAGGCCTAGAGAACCAAGTTATGTTACTGGGGTTACAAATTAGTCACTGGATACAAAGTTCTAGAATCTAGGTGCTTATTTTCATTCGGTGTCCAACCAGTATGTAGCCCTACCTCCTGTGAAGGCAGTACACACAGAGCAGGTGCTTCAGGGAGTTGCAACTTACCCTGATCCAGAATTGTAAATAAAAATTAAAGTACATTCACGAAGAGTTTCTAGTGTCCCAAGAACCTTTCTAAACGCTTTAAATATATGAACCCAAGTAAAGTCCCATCTTACACCACTGCCACAATAAATGAGAACAATTAAGGGCCCAAGAATCAGCAAACAAACTATGAAAGAATTATGAAAATACAGCAGACATTTTAAAAATATTTAAGTAGAGAGGGCATTTCTTAATATAATGTATAACATACCACAAGTTTTAGTAAAAATAAAATAACATAAAATAATACATCTCATGAGGATGAAAGATATCATAAACACATTAAAAAGACAAATGGCATTCTAAAAGAAAATGTTCACGGAGTCAAAGATCTCATATTAATAAAGTATAAAATAGTTTTATAAGTCAATAAAACAATCTATATAAGAAATGGGCAAAAAAATATTTAAGGAGAGAAATGGCCAGTAACCATATGCAAATATATTCACTGTGAATTCTGAAGTGAAACTATAACATATTCCACGTTATTAGATCAAGCAAATTAAAGGAATGATAAACTCCAGCACTGGCAAATGAACAAAGGAACGGTGGTCTTCATACCTAAAAATATTTAAGTTGTGTATACTTCAGTCAAATCCCATATTAGGAATTTGTTCTGCAGATATATAAGAATGAGTGGGTAAAGGACTATATTATATATTTACACAGATAGATAGATGTATAGTTAGGTATGTCGTTTTTTTTTTATTGTGGAATAATGGCATGATATCATCAAAAGGGGAAAGTGAAAATACATTTTGGTACATTACAGAATGGAATACTTCCCACTGGTCTGTGAGAGAAATAAAAAGCTTTGTATGTATTGACATTAGAACTGTCCAAAATGTATTGAGGGAAATAAGCAAGAAGCAGAAACAGACATGCACCATTATTTAGGGATATTTTTTAAAGTTTATGTGTATAGGTCTGGGTGTGATGTGTGTGCAAGTATAGGTATACCTGAAAGAAAAAAAAATGTCACTTACAATAATCACAGACTGTTACACCATCCTATCCCTGTCCCCTGTCATGCTGCACTTCACTGAAAAAAATAGTGACTCCTGTGGGAAGTCACTACACACTTCCTTGTAGGAAATGGGGTTTCCATTTTATTTGCAGATAATTAAGGAAATCTCACAAGTCTACTAGCCATGGGACCAATCAGGCTGAAGGGACACCTGTTACATTAGATATATGTGCATATATGTTTCTGTATATATTTATATTACACTTATATATTATACATATTTTTAAATAGGCACATGCAAATGTCCAAAGAATACCAACTTGTCAACATTATTCTGAGGATTGGGATTAGCATGTAACTAGGGGAAATGTTACCTTTTCTCTTATTCATTATTTTTCTTATGGCAAAAATTACTTTCATAATTAATAAAAATATTAATAATTTATAAAAGGAATCAAACCAAAGAGACTAAAAAGGAACTCTGGGGGATTTTCTTTAATATCATCATAGTCATTTATCACTTATGTGTTTTGTGGATTCATACTGTTTATAATTGTCAGGGCTTCTCTGAAGTATAAACTATTCATTTTCCACTTATTCATTTTCTCTAAGAGCTCAATATCATTTCGAAAACTAGATCAACCCTACTCATAGTTCCTAAATTTGTCTGCACTTCAGCTGGTAGTACCTTTGTTTTAGGAGTTTTACCTCAGATCCTCTTTGTTAACTGACAAGGGCTTGTACGCATATGTGAGTGCTGGGCAGCTCATGTCGAAGGTCAAACTTTTGCACGCACATCAACATCTTTATAGTGACTATTTCTAGACAATAAGGACATGCATACTCATTAAAAATTAAATACTCTTTTTTCTCAATGATTTCTAACCTGAATATTGTATGCACATGTTTCAGAACACCGATGAGTAACCTGAAGGGGTAAAGTTCAAAGCGTTATAAACCTTATTTCAACATACATGATAGTGCTAAGATGATCATGCATGTTTGACTTTAATTTTTTAAATAATCTAAATAATTTCAGGTAGATGGGCTGATAAATAGACAAAATTCTGTGTTTCATTCTTTTCTTCTGATAGCTTGTGAGTTGCTCCTTTCAGATTTTACATTGTCAAGGCTGAGTGCTTATCTTTATAGAGATTCTTAAATGCAGTATCCAATAACTAAAGAGAACACCATTTGTTTTCAATGCTAAGGGATATCAGTCCTGTTAAGTAGTCCTGAAAGAAGCTAAATGGTAATAAAATGCTCAGTTTTCTTCATATATATTTCAATTTCTGACAAGACACCACCCTTCTTCCACTCATGGGCTCACAATTCCTAGCAGAACAACTCAGTAACAATAATTCAATAAATTTCCAAGCATGTTTTCAGAAAATAAGATACTCACTACACTGATTGTTACCTAAAAGACACATTTATGGCCATTCATAAGATTTTCAGTTTTAAAACAGAAGACCTTTCATCTTTGCTCACATAAGTGGATTTTCAGTTTTGATAGAAATCTGGGCTCTTTGTTTACTATATATTATCATTCACCTCAAGCAATAACAATTATCACTTATAATGGAAATAAAATTAAGACTCTTGCATGTTTATATTTTAGAGCACAACTACAGGAAAATTTAGTAGTTGCAATAATACTTTCTGCATAAAACACTGTATATGCCAATTTACTTTCACCTCTACAATTTTATTTATGTTACTGTCATATTTATACTCAGAGGATTTAATGTCCAAATTAAATGGTGGGACTGGACTAAAACAGAAAGAATGAAAATAATTCAATTTTTATGATGAAAAGTTGATGAAAATAACCTTTAAATACAAACATAATATTCACTAAGGGCAGAAGTCAACATAATCTATTTGTATGTTTGGTCTAATGTACATGAACACACAAAAGCAAATAAACCAGCAACCCCCCCCCCCAAAAAAAAAACCCAACATATTAAAGAACTAAGTATTTCAATGAAATAATTTTATACTCTTCTGGTTTATATTTAGGAACAATCTGTGTCATAGCTACTGAATAACATATTTACTGAATAACTTTGATCAGGATTTTCTGGCTTTAAAGTTATTTTGTCATTCTGTTCTCAGTTTATTACCAATACGTTTGCTTTTATAAACTCATGTTCATAATTTTTCTTAGGTAAGCCTGAAGGAGAAATCAATACTTTTTTTAACTATATGATGGGTCTAGATCTATTAATCATTGTGACTTAAAAATATATGTTTCCCTGTGGATGAGGCAAATCTATACCTCTCATCTACTAATTTGTTTCATTGTTTTCTCTTGATTCTAAGTACTCTAGAAACACTCATTGATCAGAGATGATACAAAATTTCAGCATCATTTGCACAATAGATTACAGTGCTTCTAACAACTCTGCCAAGAGCTCTCAACATTATGAAGTAAAACTGATTGTTTTTCTCTCTTTTAATAGTCTCTGAATTTAAAATGCTGCATATTGGAAAGGATATTTTTGAAACATTTAGGTAAAAATGGTTCCTCACTTTTTTTTCATCCTCTACATACAAAAATTCTTTCAGAATCCAATATAAAAGCAAGAATGGCATTTATTAATGCAAATCATATATCATTCTGTTATAGTCCTCCTTGTGTATTCATTGCTTGATTGGAGCCTCCTGATTGACCTCAGAACTGTGTGTGTGTGTGTGTGTGTGTGTGTGTGTGTGTGTGTGTGTGTGTTTATATGCATGTATGAGGGGGAGAAAGTGGGGGAAGGAAAAAAATGGCACCGGAAAAGAATGAGAAAAAAGGAAGAAGCTGGGGTAAGAAATAAAGATAAGTCAATAACTCTCAGGAAGATAAAATAAAATATGGTATTGTTAGCTATGAATGCCCTCTGTTTGAGTACTTTAAAGTGAAGTCAGACCACATCCATCACAGAACCTGGCAAGAAATGACCTAAAACTGTCCTTTCTGGGTATTGAGATGAGAATTTTTGTCCATGCTGTCTCTGTTCTTGGCATCTACTGAACAGAGACTAAGATAGCCAATTAAGCCTAATTGTGATAAACTATGTGCTTTATATTCATTCTAATGAAGAACTACTGCTTGGCAGGTAATAACCCCAAACCACTCAACTAATTGTGGTTAAAACCTTGGGTTAGATGTAACATGACCCTAGATGTGAAAGGGTAGTGCTTCACCTATGATGCCATTATTACTGCACCCGAATTTACATACGCAATTAATTCTGTGACAATGTATGAAATTTTTAACATTAATATGGCTAACAAGTCCTGTTCTTCCAATATACTTTCAGTTTTTAATCCTAGCATAGCTTTATTGGCATGAACTTGACCAACATAAATATCTAAAGGTTAAGTTTTCTTTGAGTTGTTCTCTATTTCTGTCATAGATATAAAAGATTCCAGTGCACTTATTCTAAACTAACTTTCCTCTGCTTTAACTTCATTGAAGTGGTCCCCAAATGTTTATTTTTATTTCATACTCCTATCAGTAAAAAGGTTACATATTTACATTTGACATTTAAAATCTTTAAGCATTCATTTATAAATTATAATGATAATTAACTGCACTAATATTATATTGATCATCCAAATATATAAAAACAGAAAAGTCAATAAAATAAACCCCAATAGAAGTTTCAATGTGTTCTTGCCCCGTCCCAATGGACTGATTGTCATACATAGCCATGGGGTGGGCTCATTACACTTTGTTGACCAATGCTCTGGTCAACAAACTGAGGTTTGCAAAAGGAGCAACTCAGTACACAATACCCCTTTTATTTCAATATAATTTCACATATATAAAAAAGGAAGGATTACGTCAGTTTTTTTTTTTTTTTTCGAGATGATGTCTTGCTCTGTCACCCAGGCTAGAGTGCAGTGGCATGATCTTTGCTCACTGCAACCTCTGCCTCCCAGGCTCAAGTGGTCCTCCTGCCTCAGCCTCCTGAGCGGCTGGGACTATAGGCATACACCACTGCACCAGGATAATTTTTATATTTTTTGTGGAGATGGGGTTTTGCCATGCCTCCCAGGCTGGTCTCAAACTCCTGGACTCAAGTGATCTGCCCACCTTGGCCTCCCAAAGTGCTGGGATTACAGGCTTTGAGCCACCATGTCGAGCCTCCAGGTTTGAAGAGATTTTAAGAGATCATCTAGGAAATCCCCTTATCACATCCACAACAGAGGAAAATTCAGTATAAGAAACCCATCTCTTCCCTTGAAGCACTCTTCCCATTGGATATCACTGTTAGAATATTCCTTATTATATTGATCTAAGTCCATTTGGTGATTAGAGGTTTGAGATATCTATAAAGAAAGAAATCTATTCATTCTTTTCCATGTTAGCCTTTCACATATTTGAAGAAATCTTTCTAAGGCTCTTCGCACTGATATTATCTCCAAGTTGCACATACTCACTGGCTTCGATTATCCTCAGTGAGGTGTAATGTATAAATCATAATTGGTCTCTCATCCTCTTTTATGAGCACCCTAGCTTGCGAATAACTATCTGAAAATGGGAAACCAAGTAATGCAAACAATACTCCAGATCGGGTCTTCCCACTCCTTTGAAATCAGAGGAGTAAAGCCTCCATTCATCAGTCATCTAGCTTATATAACTAAATAAGTAATTCTTCCTCAGAAATATATTTGTCTTAAGAACTTTTATTTTATTTTATATTTTTAACAACCCTGTGGATATATTAGTGATTTTTAAAGGCAAACATCAAATTCATTACATCATAATGTTGTGTTTTAAAAATCTGCTGTGGTATGTTATTAAAACAACATTGCCAGTAATAAAAATCAATGGGCCTAAAGTAAAATGGAAAAATAAATATGAATCCACTTGGGCCCTTCAGATAATGCACTTGGCTTTTCTTTCAATGAATATAGATAAGTGATTTCAGGTGGAGGGACCTAGAATAATCATGATAAAATTACTTTACAGATAGTGTGCTTGGGCTAAAAGGTTCCATTATTTTAACTGATTCTTTCTATTTCTGGTTTCATTGATGCATGTTTTAGTCATATTTTTTGCATTACTGCATAGCTGGGTTAAATAGTCCTTATGCATTATTACTGACTTTTACATTATCTTCCCTAGGTAGCTTAAGCAATTTGGATTATATTTGTTTAAATTTTTAAACTCTATAGAGGTGAGAAAATAGTGGAGTTCAAATTTTTAAAAAAAGGAAAAGAAAACTATTCCTTGAGTGGAAATGTAGTTATTTGGGTCAAAATTAAATTAAAATTATGCTTGGTAAAAGAAATGTTCAATTATCTAACAATCTCAGGTTCAAATATGAACAGTTAATTTATAACTTAGTATTTTCACTGTATTTAAATGCTTTTCCAATCTCAGAATCAATTAATATTCTTATCAGGATATGCAGAGTCTATTAAATGGAAGTATCTTTTCTTTCAATTTCTATTGTTAAGAATATATTTTTGATACAAAAATCACCATCTGTACAAAATTGAGAGTTAAAATTATAACTGTAGGCTTACATTATTAATAAAAAACAGTATTATTATGGCAGTGTTGATTTGGATTATTAATGTTCAGAATAATACTTTTAATTATAAATACTTGAATATCAAAAATTTATCATACATGCACATATAAGAAGGGAGTTTTCAGATTAAAATAAGCAAAACTTTAAGAATGGTAAATTGCTAACAGAAGACATATGTAAATATAGATACATGTACACATACATTCTAAGGTTTTCTATTGGACAGAAGATGAAACAGAAAAACAATTGTCTTGAATTTATTCTGTTAATATTTGGTAGTCTTCCAAATAGTTGGTTTGATGGATCATAAAAACTAAATGTCACATTTTGAGAAATGTGATAATGGGGATAAACACGAAAGGATGAAAACAATACTGACTTTGCAGTTAATATTGGAAAATATCTTTGTTTTGTCCCATTTCAAGATGCGTATTTTCTCTTCAGTTATAAGGAAATTTATATTTAGCTTTGCAAGCTAAAGCTTCATTCTGGAGATGAGTATTTAGTGACTGCATCCATTGAAAGTCAAATTTATGCAATTAAAATTACTTCATTCTTTGGCTGTCCTGGACAAAAAATAAACCAAATAAAACAGCCTAACCGAAAAGTCACAGCTGTATGGTCAATGTGGCTGATAGGAACAATTTATAGTCCAAATCTAATTAGCATTTCTTGATATGAGCTACAGCTCCACCCCTTTGGTCATATAAGTATTCCAAACCATCACGACTATGCCAACAGTTATTTCAGTTACATTATACTAAATGCCTTCAACAAAACTTTATAATGACTCAAAACTTTGAAATTTGACATGTGGGTGTGTGTGTGAATGTATATGTTTGTATGTGTGTGTGTGTATGTGTGTGTATGCACGTAAAATTGTCTTCAAACTGAAGGATTAATTACAAGAAGGTCTAAATGTGGATGTTATTGTCCTAGCCTCAGATACTTAATCTTCCTCAGCACTAATTGTATGCATCCTTTGCCTGACCTAAAAGATAGCCTGTTGACCTTTCAATCTGTAGGTTTGTCACTTACCTCTATTTTGTGTTGTGTGTAGGAATACTGCATGGTTCTCCACTGCTTCTACTTATTAACAGTGTTGGCTGGTTACATTTGAAAGGTATCCTGAGCTCAGGCTGGTGCATGTTTTTGCCCCTGTGGATGCCTGTCCATTCCTATTTAGATATTGCTTTATGTCTCCAATAGTTCTTTCCCCAAATGCAGCCATTACAGGAACATAAAAATATTGATGTCAGATTAAGGTCTATTTTAGGAAAAAAAAATTAAAACACACCTTAGGTAGATAACTACATTATATACAGATTACCATTAAAATACATTGAAATATTTTTCATATTAAAACTAGGTCGCTTATCTGACTTCCTATGAGAATCTTAGTAGGCTTAACCTAAATGTGAAAATATTCATTAAGAGAATTCTCTATATGTTTGTGTGGCTGCCTTTGAAATTTATGGAGCATAGTCATTAAGGTAACATTATGTATATATTTTCACTTACTTATGATGTTATTTAATTAACAATTCCTTGTCCCTTAAAAGTGGTTTCGTACATAGAAGGAGAAGGCTTGACCAGGCATGAGTTTAGGCATAAGCTATCAATTATCTTTATGAGGCCAATTATCAGAGCAGGTAGGAACAGGAACTGATAATTTAAATTCTAATCATGAATTCTATTCACTATACATAGGCAGAATTAGCTGACATTTAACAAAAATAACCTCAGGTTAGAATCTATGCTTAGAAGCTCCATTCCTGTTCCCAGAATTCATGTTTCCTTAAGTGTAGGCTGCCAGAAAAGACTAAATGGTTCATAATGCACTAAAAAATCCCAATACAGGAAATGTGTAGCTTTCTATTCATTAAGGTTAGTGTCTCTTGACCCTATCCTGTGGAAGTATAACCAAAGTTCACAACAGGCTCATAGGGAGATTGGATTTATTAGCTAGCCAGACAATGGACAGCAGTGTCTCTCTGTTAGCCAGTCCCCTGAATATGGATTGTAGAGGCTAGAGATAGGGCAAGAAGCAGGAAGCTGCTTCCAAATTAAGGAAAAGCATTTATTGTTTGATTATTGAAGGGAATTGACAAGTCTCTCTTGGTCTTGGTCACAATTTCAATGCAAATTCATTTGAGTAGTCTTAAATTAGTAAAGTTCTCAGTAATGTCTGATGGCAAGTTGTTTAAACATCAAGTAGGCTGAGGGTCATGCCACGATAAAATCCCTTATGTGCACATAGAAGATAATGAGCAGAGATTTCCTTAATCAATAGTAATCATAGAATTAAAGGAGATTCATCCCATGAGTGTCCTTAGAGATAATTTATTCCAATGCTTCATTTTACAGGTAAAGAAACTGAAACCCAAGATAATAAGTAATATGCATAGCGCCATTTAGTTGACAAACAGCAGAGCCTGAACTCAGACCACATGTTATGTTAAGTCCAATGTATGCAGCATTGCAGGGGAAACTGAAAATACATCCATGCTCTAGAGAAACTGGAGACACCATACTTAAGGGATACATACTGTATCCCTTCACACATCATACGATGGAATTTACTCTAGTGCAAAGGGCAACCTAATGACTTGAAGGAGTGACAGCACTTCACAGAGAAAGGTGAAGACAGAGGGCCATCGTGTTAATATGTGCCACAGGGTGAGGAGTGGAGAGAATGAGTTTCAGTTGCACCTCCACAAACTCACCAGCATTTAAAAACTTTCAGTCCTGGAGAAGCTTCCACGGTTACTATGCCCTGCAGAGATGGGATGCAATTATGCAGAAGTCAGGCTAAAATGATTACAGGATAGCAGAATGCTTGAAATAGCTGAAGTCAATTAAGATTCTATGACCTGTTCTTGTATCATCTCTCTGCTAAGAAAGTGCCGTTCAATCACTGTATTTTACATCTTCTGCATAATGAAAGCACCTGCAACTGCATAAGGCCTGATTTAACTTCCAAGCAGAGTATTCCTTTGTTGTGACCGAAATTTTATTTCCTATAATAGGTCATTTCCTCCTAGTTTCATCATAGCCAACCTCCTGGATTAATTACAAGAATAACTGGTTAAGGCATTTCCATCCTTCTTTCATGAAAACATCAAACAAAACTTAAATATATTTTAACCTTAAAAATTTATTTTTATTCAGTTAGCATTCAACAAATATTATTTAGTGGCTACTGACTACCAGGCACTAGCATTTCAGAAGCCCTGAAGGAGCTTAAGGTCTGGTGGGCAGGATATATATGCTAGTAAACATCATAATATTACAACGGGGGCA
Source organism: Homo sapiens (assembly GCF_000001405.40). NCBI lineage: Eukaryota > Metazoa > Chordata > Mammalia > Primates > Hominidae > Homo > Homo sapiens. The sequence continues at coordinate 124,447,213 of NC_000006.12, read as the reverse complement.
TTCTCAGCAGAGTTCTATGCAAACACTGATGAATAGTTACCCAAAAGGAAATACGTCAAACATGAGTGATTATGTGGTCAAAGAGGAAGGGCATTGTAGAGAGAATGGAAATGACAAGAGGTTTAATGTGTAGAAGAAGCTGAATAAGATTTGGAAAGTGGCAGTAGAAAAAAGCCATCCAGGGTATCTCAACCTTGGCACTACTGACATGCTGGACTTAATTATTCGTTGTTGTTGGGGCTGTCCTGTGCATTGTAGGATGTATAGCAGCATCCGTGCTGTTCACCCACTAGATACATGCTCCCACCACCATCATCATAATGTGTTAATAAAAATGTCTCCAGACCTTGTGAAATGTCCCCTTGTGGACAGAATCTTTCCTGGTTGGAAAGTCACTGGAAAATTGGTGTAAGTTAGATAAACAAGAGCTGTATATACCTACAAAGGAGTTTGGATATTATCACATACATAGTAATGAGATGCCACGTTTCATAGAGACCCCATTTCCCATAGAATACAAGCATATATATCATCTGATGTTTTATATAATTTTATATAACTTGTATATTTTTGTCAGGTGTGACGGCTGATGCCTGTAATTCCAGCACTTTGGGAGGACAAGGTGGCAGGATTGCTCCAGGTCAAAAGTTCAAGACCAGCCTGGGCAATGTGGCAAAACCCCGTCTCTATCAAAAATACAAAAATTAGCCAGGTGTGGTAGCACATGGCTGTGGTTTTAGCTACTCTGGAAGCTGAGGTGGGAGGATCACTTGAGCCCAGGAATTCGAGGCTGTGGTGAGCTGAGATCACGTCACTGCACTCCAGCCTGGGCAACAGAGCAAGACCCTGTCTCAAACAAACAAACAAACAAACAAAAAACTTATATATTTTGCAATTATAAAGTTTTGTGGAGAGAGGCTTGAGCTTTACCCATTTCAAAGTGGTTCTAAATTCCTAAACTAGCATGACCAATAGAAATATTTCAAATGTTTCTTGTATATGTGACACTCTTATAGAAGCAATATGGAGGAACAAAAGCAATAATGTAGTGTTTGCTTTCAACATAATGAGAGTAAAATAATAAACAGGATGTTGGTCTTGCCATGCCTTGGTGAACAGGACTCCTGGCAGAGTAAGACAGCCAACAAGACCAATGTTCTGCCGTTGTTCTGCAAATAAGTAAAGAATTACATTGCACAGGGATTCCCGCTCCCCCATTTTGAAGGCACACAAATTGAATGAAAATGACTTTGTTTATTTTGATTTTGATGAACTTTACAAAACAAATATGTACTATATATACATAGAATTAGCCAGATGAATGAACCACTGGCAATCTCACGTATGTTTTTAGCAAAGGCAGTGAAGAGGTCACATAGCATCCTTAATGACATGCCAAGCCTGGGCAGCAGTGTCTGTTTTTTTTTTTTGTTTTGTTTCGTTTTCATTTTTGTTTTTTTCTTTTTTCCTCTCTTTTCCCTTTTAATGTCCCAACACTTGGCAGTAATACATGGTTTTCAGTCAACGCTTCCTTCAGCATTTATTATATCATTGTTGCCATGACAAAAGATTATAGGTGTTAATCACAAACAAAGTGTTGTTACATGACATTTTGAAACCTGATCCAACAGTGGCATGATAACTGTGAGGAAAAAAAATTGATCACATTTTCAATAATAAAACAGTGTGAAGTCTTATTGATTATTTTGAATTTTTTTTGTCTTCCAGAGGAAATCAAATATTAAATGACCTGAGAAATAAAATGTACAATAAAATGCAATTTAGACAACAATACAAAATTTCAACCCTTAACAAATACAGGGATGTTTAAAGTTTTTATTTCATAAAGTGATATAATAATAAAAAGTATTTTTCAAATTAATTTTTATGATAAAAGTAATATAGGGACAACATAAAACCTCAAATAGCAAAGAAGAGCAAAAACCAAAAAGTGAATGATATACTTTTCCTCCACCTTCTAATCCTTTCCTTAGGAAGTATTAACAATTTTTTGTGTATCTTTTCAGAAAGTTTTATTTGCACAGAAGATACCATTCTACATAGAGTTGCTCTATACTTTCCTTTTTTACTTAAAGACTTTTTAAACTTAAAGACATCCTTGCAGAGGTTTCGTTATTAAAACTCATATATCCACTGTATTCTTTCTAATGACCTCGTAGTCTGCATTTTGAGGTATGTATTCCATTGCATGCATGTATTATTTGTTTTTTTTAACAATTCCTTTTGATGAAGAGTTGCAGATTTTCCATTTTTTTGCTTCCAAATAATTGTATATTCTAAATTCTGTACATACATCCTTCAGCAATATTTAAAAGCATTCATGAGATTCATTCCTAATAAGAAATTTCTTAAAATTCAATTTCTTAAATTTCAAAAAAGCTCCTTGAATCAGACATTTCTCTCAATGAGAAATTACTTCTTTTTTGTAATTTTTGTGTTTGGAATTCTATAGGGACATAAAAAAAGATCAGGAGATAGAAATTCATGTTCTTATATTTAATATGCTCTAACATGTTACATAATATAAAATGTCACACAGAATAAAAGCCTAATTCAAGAATATATTTAATACTAGAAAAGTTTTGTAGTTGAGAATATGTAAAATTGAACAAAAGTAAACACATTGACTTAATGAATGATTTAACAGTATATATAATACGGTTACTCCTATTTCTCTAAAATGTTGTTATATGCGTGTCTTATGTTTAAAGGCATATTGAAAGCAACAACCATTACGGTACAACCATCCCAGTTAGGAATTTAAAATGGTTTTGAGCTACTCAAGCTAGTTAAACATGAGTCTGGATAAAATATGTAGAATCAAATCTGTGTGCCATACATTCATTCAGTCAAAACTATTTACATAATTTATACTATGTGCCAGATACTAATAAACATTTTTTTGAAGTTGTAAGGGTCCTAAGAATCTATTTTTATAAGATAGAATTTGAGATTTTCTATCAATTTTCTAATCCAAATTCTAGTACATTCCATAATTCATTAATGTATTCACCTTTATTCTATATCAACTATCGAATCAATAATTTATCAACAATAACTTTTATTCCTACTGCATGCCAGGTGCTATGGTAGATGATGTAAATACAAAATCCTCCCTTTATTTCATGAAGCTTGCAGCTTAGTCAGTAAAATAAATATTACTTAAATATTCATGCAAATGATTATAAAACCAAAACTCTGCTATATACTAAAAAGGAGAGTTACAGGTCATATAAGAGTATATGAAGTGGGAATTCATATAGTCAGGAATGTCTCTCAGATATACGAGATTGAAAGGATAGATAAGAGTTAAGAACACAAAGAAGAAAATGAACAGCATTTTGGAGAAGAAACAGTGTCTGCAAAGATCTTGTAAGGGAAGTGCTCACAGCTATGATCATTTACCTAGTCATGACTGTATAGTGGAATGGATATACTTTATAGTTACAAATTTATGACACGTTTCCTGATGTGTGGGGTAAGAACTACTGTAATGAGGAAGTCCAAATATTAGACCCTGTCAAGACAGTAAAATCAGTATCTCACCCTGTAAGGAATAGCAGAGATTAAAGCCACCCTTATAATGGTCCTATGCTACCCCCTATAATTTGCAGGTTTGGGTCATACTAAGGCCAGATAGAATGTTGGTCAATGACAGTAAACTACTGAAGACTCAAACAAACAAGTGTTATCTCTAATTGCAACCATTATACCAGACATGGCATCTTTGCTAGAGCAGATTAGTACTGCCTCTGGATGTCATATGCGATCAGAAACAGTAAATATTTATTGCCTTACTCCAATATACTGTTAATTATTTTTTCTTATGTCAAAATATAGTCTGAAGGGAACTGATTGTCTGGACACCTTGGAGAATATCATCTTTGTTCACTATATTGATGGAACCATATCAATAACATCCCGCTAATTGAAACAGAAGAGCAAAAGTAGCAAATGAATTGGAGGCTTGAGAAGACACATGTGGGAGGATAGGAGAAAAACCCAATAAAAATTGAGGAGCCCCACACATGAGTGAAGCGTGTAGGGGTCTAATGGTCTCTGACATCATGAAACACTTCCTTAAAGTAAAAAGCAAATTATTGCATCTTGCAACTGTCATTACCAAGAAAAGCAAACAATACCTTATAGGCTACACAATCTTCTGAGCATAGCAAGTTCCATACTTGAGAATACTGCTCAAACTCATTTACCGCATGACATGAAGGGCTGTCAGCTTTGAGCAGAGTCTAAAACAGAACTAGGCTGTGGTATAAGTGGCCCTGCTCCTTGGGACAAACAACCCAGAAAATATTATGATGCCAGAAACATCTTTGATGAGCAAGCCTAATGGTAGTTTATGTAAAATCCAAAAAGAAGAATCATAACATAGACTGTATGATCCTGGAGCAAAACCATACTATCTGCAAGACCATGCCAACATAGAGCTTCTGGCATGCTACTGGGATTTGGAAAAGATGAAGTGACTGAACATAGGGTAGAGGTCACTATGTCAGAACTACCCATTATAATCTAGTGTCTATCAGAACTACTGCATCATAATTCAGGTGTACCCAGTAACAATCTAATGTAACACAGAAATGGTATTTCAGGGATTGGGCATAAGCCAGACCAGGGGTTCCAAATAAGATGCAGGAGCCGGTGTCTTAGATCCCCATGCCATCCACCATTATTGCAATTCATATGGCTCTCAATTCATATGGCTGAATGGGAGGGAGGTCCTTTATAACTAGCTGGCAGAAGAAGAAAACGTTCAAGCTTGGGCCATGCATCAATCAGCTTACTACATGGACATAAGAAAAAGAAAAAAGGGCATTGATGACTTTACAGCTCTGCTGAAGGGTGACTGGAAAATTTAGTGGGGAGGTGCAATTCTCCAATGGTTAACATATCTTCAATTCTCCAATGGTTATCATGTCATGCATCTGGTTGTCCACTTTGTTTGGAAATAAAAGTGGCCTTAGGTAGAACTTAGACTGACTCACAGACAGTGGCAAAGGGCTTAGCTGGTTGATTATGGATCTGGAAGGGGAAGAGTTGAATGATGAGGGATAAGGAGGTCTGGATTGGTGGCATGTTAATGACTATATGAGAATAGGCACTATATTTAAAATCTTCATATTGATCTAACATGCACAAGAAGCACCTGCCAACACGACAGAAGACTCAGCATCAGCCCAAGTGCTAGTCTTATGTGTATGTAAATGTACATGGGCCCATTTACAAAAATTATCTAGTTACTGCCCTCATCAACTATTCAACCTGCTAGAATAGAAAATACTTAGCACCCAATATAGCACTATCCCTTGAAGGAACATGCCACAGATATGGTGGAAAGTTGACTATATTAAACCCCTTCCACCTAGAAGGGGTAGTAATTCTATGTTTTGTTTATTTATCGCTGCACAGAAAACCATCTCTAGTGGCTTAAAATGACAACACTTGCTTTGCTCATAAATCAGCAACACTTCTCTGCTTCACTGCACATAAGCCAGAGCAGCTCAAAGGCTGGGGAATAGAATCATCTGAAAGTGTACTTGCTCAATCACATGGCTGGAAATAGATACTGGCTCTCAGCTGGAACTTCAGCTGAGTCTGTGGGTAAACTCCTCCATGTGGACCTTTTCAGAGCATAGTGGTGGACTCTAAAGACATGTGTCCCAAATGCAAGGTAGAGCCAGGCGAGAACTGGATCACCTTTTCTAATCTGGCTTTGTAAGTCACGTAACTTCACTCCTGCCAGTGTCACTAAAAGCAGATGACTAAAGCTATACCATATTCAAGAGAAAGTATATTAAAGTCCACTTTTTGGTGAAGGACTGTTAAGGAATTTTTGGATACATTTTAAACTACCACATTTCTCTTGATTGGAATTAATATATATCATGGTATGGATTATTCTTTTCTGCCTGCAGAAACTCTGCAGAACTAGAGTCTAGAGATTTACAGTGTTTGATCCATTGACACAGGATTCTGCATAAAGCCATATTATAAAAACTGACTTATCTTAGAGAAAAGAGGGGTAGAAGTGTGTGAATCATGAGATTCACGGCTCTATCATATACTGACCATTCATAAGCTTCCAGCTTTATACATAGTGAAGAAATTGCCTGTTTAAGACACAATTATCCAAGTGTGATCTTAGGTGATACCCAGAAAGGATGACAATGTACAGGTGAAATCAATTACTAGTATATGGCACTGTGTGTCCATGCTAGGTAGAATATATGTGTCTAGAAACTATGGAGTCAAAGTAGGAATGGACCTACTTACAATCATTCCTAGAGAACCACTTGGAGGAATTTCTGCTTCCTGTCTCCATAATTCTAGGCTGTACAGATTTACATGTCTTGATTCTGAGAGAGAACATACTTCTACCAAGGGACAAAGAAGTGTCCCGTTATATCTCAAAATCTAGGTTTTGCCCAGTAACTTAGGACTTCTCATTCTAAGAGACTACGAAGCAAAGAGAGAAGTCTGCATCCTGGAAGGGCTAAATGATATTGATCATTAGAAGGTGAAACTGATACTACACAGTGGATCAAGGAATCATATTCTTAGTTTGGAAACTAGGTGATCCACTTGGACATTTCTTGGTACTCACTTGCCCAATTTTAATGGTAAGTAGAAAAGTGCAGCAGGCATGGCCCTAGAAAGGGATGGTAACAAGAGGATCAGACTTCTCAGGTATGAGGATCTGAGCCACCTCATCTGGCAAGTTACCTAGACTTTCAGAAGTACTAATGTAGGGTGAAGGAAATTCAGGACTAATGGTGAAAGTATAAGTTATGGTCTTGAGACCAGCTGCAGCAAAAGGAGCTTAAGTCTATCCCATTAAACTTTTTCTTGCAACTTATGCCCAGGTAAAAGAGGACCAGTAGAATCTTGGAGCAGCTCTTCTATAACTTACTATATAAAGCAGGAAGTGGACTATAGCGGATACTGTGGTGTGTCACCTAGATTCATCAGTCCTACCTCAGGACTGAGCACTCATTCTCCAGCTGCTTGCTTTGCTAGAAATTGACTCAAGGTCATGTCTGCTCTCTATGGGCAGGCAGCTCACATTTGATGATTGGTTAATGCAGAAATATAAATGTCTAGACTTCTTGTCCAATTCAAGATACTGAAGAAGGGCCATCCCAGCCTGAGTCCTTTGTAGAATCATCTCAGACATAGTTCTCTACCCAAATTTGCTTTTTAGGATCACCCTCAGGTGTTAATCCTGAGAGTGTGCTCCAGTAAATTTCCTGCATAGAAATCTTCAGAGCAGGCTTCCTGGAGACCCCTATCTGAGATGAGTCGAGAGAGGAAGGAGATAGACAAGGAGATGAAGTGCGGGGACCAGAAGAAATATCATATTTTCTCATCATGTATATGGCCCACATTCCTTTTTCACATTTTTATATCTCTAAAGTTGAAATGCAGTTTATAATTCATGTGATAAACAAGGCTTGTGTTACTGTTTTATTGGCAATATTTTTTGTTGTAGTATATACATTAATGACTTATTTTACATCCAAAACACAGATCTGATTAAAAAAAAAACGGAAACAAATACAAAACAAAACAAGCAGGAAGAGGTTAGAATTCGGATTTTCTAGACATTAAAATAATTTTAAAGGCCTAATACAGACCCTAAGGATAGTGGGAAAGTATTTAAGAGGAAAAGCCTGACATCATACGATTTGCTTCTGAAAAGACCACTGAGTCTAGTGTACGAAGAAATAAGGATAAGAGATGTAACCTCATGAGCAGGCCCCGTGTAGTCGTCCACCCAAAACAGATGAGAGTGTTTCATGGAGATAAAAAAAAAAAACAACAAGTGGATAGATTGAGAGATTTGAGAGATATTTAGCAGGTGAAATCTGTAGTACTTAGTTTTAGGATGAACATAGGGAGTAAAAAGTGACTCTGGTTTTTAAATCAGCAACCAGGTGATTGGTGGTATCATTCATGAGCTAGAAAACACAGAATGAAAACCAAGCTAGGTTTCTTTAGAGCGGAAGCGTAATGCGAAAATCGGGAGTTGTTTGTTTCACACTTTAACTTTGGAGATGCCATTAGCTATTGAGAAGAGCTGTCGAGTAAAATGTTATATATGTGATTCTAGGATCTGAAGAAGTGTATGCCTGAGATACAGTTTTGGGAACCACTTGAATAGATTAATAAGCGGTAATTGAAGCTCCATATATGGATGAGATCACATTGGATAGTGTGAATAAAGGAAGGCCTAGGAGCAAGCCTTTATTAACTCCACGATTTAGCAGCTGGGTCGTAAAAATACACTTATAAAAGGATACACTGGAGAAACATTTACAGAGGAAAAACAGATGGCTGTTGTGTCCCAGAAGACAAGGAAAGAAAATGTTTCAAGAAAGAGGGTGTGAGAATTGGTGTTGAATGATGCTGATACAGCAAGTAAGACAGACTGAAAAAATGTTATTTAGTTAGTGACAGGGAGGCCATTGGTAATATCATCAAGAGCTGTTTGCTGGAAAGGGAAGGCTGCACGCTGCATGAGAGCAGGCTAAGCAGTGAGAACATATGAGGAAATGGCCACAGATTCAGCTGCAAAAAGTGGAACAGAGAGGATGACAAGTGAAAGGTAGTAAGCCCTGAGTTTTTGTTTTGTTCATAATGATTTCTCTTCTTTCTTTTCTGTATCTATCTCTATCTCTCAGAAGGAAGCACAGTTAAGAGTCAACAGAAAAAACTGAGTTTAAGTTAGAGGTTGAATAAACAAAACACAAAAGGAATAATTGATAACATAAGTAAGGATCCTGAATTACCCAGAGTGACTTCTTATCTTCCACATGGCAGAAGATAGCAATGCATTCAAATAGCCTGTCCCCTCTTTTCTAAAACTGAGTGGGTGTAGTGTTTATAAGGTGAAGTGTTTGGAAAAAAAACATTATAGAAGCAGAAATAAGTTAAAATTAAATTCTGGGGATTTTTAGACAATTATTGCAGCTTGACGCTGATTATCAAGCTAAATTTTGGTTTTCTTTCTCAGATTACAAATTATGTCAAATTTTCCAATAATGATGAAAACAATGACAAGCTATGTGTTGAGAAAGCCATTTCTGTAAAATTTTCACTCACTGGATAATCATATGTGAAGCCCAGGTCTAAATGCACTCATTTAATATGATGCCAATGGGCTTTCTTGCTATATCCACATGCCTCTGTATTTCCAGATATAAGGAGCTGCCAGTTAAAATTGTACAAATAATAACTATTGAGAAAATCAGAACTTACCATCAGACCGTTACCTGGGGTTAAGAAAAAAAAAAAAAAAAAAATCAATAGATCAGTACGTATTCCCTACAATTCAGCTACCGTATCCCATGCGTTGAGGAAATTATTATTCATTCTTCAAAACCCAAGTCAAGCATCATCCCACTAGACTACTTCCCTAACCTCACCTCCAACTCTATGCACAAAGCACATGCCTTACCTCATAGCACTTAACCTCATGAATGGCCAGTTTCTATTCTAAGTTTCTAGGATTAGACTGTGAGCTTTATGGGGAGGAACAGCTTCTGATTCAACTTTGCATATTCACAGAACCTAACTCTTGTTCCATATTGTTGAATGAGATAGGTAGAAAAGACAGAGACAGAAGAAAGAGAAGCAGGAGAGAAAGAGAAAGAATGGAAATCAGAAGGTGAGAAAGGAAGGAAGGAAGGGAAGTAAAAAAAGAGCAAAAGAAAGAATAAAATGAAATAATGTAGTATCACAGAACATAACGGCTTGTGATCAAATAATTGGCAAAAATAAAACTTGCAATTATTTACTTGGTCAAACTGACAAATGTTCTTAACTAAAAGGCAATGATTCATTAATTCCTCAAATATTTCTTGAGCACCTATTCTGTGCCAGGCATGGCGCCACTGGATGATATATTATAAACAAGAAAAAAATTCCCTGCCCTTTTGGATTTCATTTTCTAGGGTAAGTCATCTTAATACATTAGTTATACAGTATGATTTAAGTTGTTAAGTGTTATGGAAAAAAATACAGCAGAGCCACCTGGACTGACAGTGCAAGGGTGAGAGACTGAAATTTTAAAATAGGTAGTTAGGGTAAGAGTCACAAAAAAGACATTTGACTCAGAGTCATGCATATGTTCCAGAGGAAAGGCATTCGAAGGACAGAAACCAAAAGTGAAAAAGCTCTGAGACAGTGTGGGCCTGGAGTGTAGAAAGCCAGGGTGGCTAAAAGCAGAGCGAAGAGAGGTGATAAAGGTGATGGGGAGAGGAGGCAGCTCCAGCTCATGGAGAACCGTATAGTCATTGCAGACTTTTACTAGCAGAAGATGGAAGCCTCTTGATTGAGGGTGTTTAGCAGAGCAGTGACATGTTCTGGCTTAAACTTTCAAAGAACCTGCATTTAAAGGAACTGTTGCATTAGAATAGAAGCTGGGAACCAGTGAGAGGCCAGACAGGAGATCCTGGTGGCCTGGACCAGGTTGGCAGCAGTGGAGGTGAGAAAAGTGGTGGGATTCCGGGTGTACCCTGAGGACAGAGGCAAGGGGATTTGCTCTAGGATTGGAGTGGGCTGTGGGAGAGAGGCACCAAGAGAAATTTCAATTTCACTAAATTCCAGTTCTGGGATTAAAAGTTCTATTCAAATACGTTTCTATGTTCTCAAAGCATTCATATATGAATAAACACAAACTTGAAATTCTTTTTATTCTCACTTATTGATATTATGAATTAGATCAGTTCTTAAGTTCATGAATCAAAAACACGGTGTTTTATGATATTGTAATGATAGAAAAACAAGCATTTATAAATTCTGTGAGTGCTGCTTTAATTGGAAAAGTCCTCATTTCTGGTGTATCTTACTTCATGCTTAGAGGAAGGAGCTGAGAAAGGCATCTGAGCTAATATTAAGAGAAGAAACAATTGATACTACAGAGGGTCTTTTTTAGCTAGTTTTAATGAATAACATTTTGTCATCAAATGAAAGTATACAGACTACAAATGCATACAATACTCAGCATATCATTTCCATCAGTGTACCAAATAGAAGCCTTTAAGGCAGATAATACGTTAGCTGATAAAGCAGAAAGACAAAGATACGTGGATTAAAACTTAAAACCTGCTGGTTTACTGTCTATCATTTAATTCTCTATATTGGGGTTAGCTTAACTTTAAAAAGTAATAAAGTGAATATTTCGTCCGTAGAGCACTTGACATTGGGGATTCTGAATTTAAACGTTATAAAGAAACTACTTATATTTAATCTGGTATTTTTATTTTAGAATTTGTATTTCTGAAGAATAGATTTCCAAGAACCCAATAATACTGTGTCTGTTTGGACTATAGAATGTTAGTTAGGCTTTGGGACTTTTTAATATAAAGGATTAGGTAAGCCTAAGAAAGAAGCATTTGAGAAAAATATAACACTTTGTTATTATTTTGATCTCAGTGGCATAAGTTGTATACTCACATGAAGTTCAGAAAAACTATCCAGCAAAGACTTCCTCTAAGTCTGTTTCCTCAGTGGTAAGTCTCCTAATACGAACACGAGCTCTGGAGCCAAACCTCTTGGGGTCAAATCCTGGCTCAGTCACTTACTAGCTGTGAGACTGTGGGAAGTGCATTTAAAGTCTCTGTGATTCTGTTTGCAGGTGTACAGTAAAGGGATTAATAAAAATACAGCATCATAGGATTGTTGTGAGAATCGAAAGATTTAATACATATACAGCATTTAGAACTATAGCAAACAAAAAACACACATTTAACATTAGCTATGATGGTTGCGGAGAATACTCATCAACCGTAATTTTCCTTTCTTGTTTTTTATGGAAACTTATGAGTGTATCTGACTTCCTGGGGCCAGAAATAGAGCTTTGAAGTCTTCTGCTCCATACAACTTAATGATGTACCAAGACCTCTACAGTCTTGCCTCTGACTTTCCTTGATTTCTCAAACATTCTAGCTATTTCTTGTCTGGGAACGCACCTTCTCAAGATGTTTGCATGCCATATTCCTTCTAGTTATCCAGATTTCAGCTTAAAAGTCATTGCCTCAGAAAAATGTCTTTGACTTCAAACTAAAATCAATAACCACTCTCTTTTAGCTCACTCTGATTAGTTCTCTCAAAATATTTGTGATTTTCTGAAACTCTTCATGATAATTATTTTTATTTCTGTTCTCTTGATTAATAAGTAACTCTATTCAAGAATGATGGCTGCATATAATATTTACTGAATAAATATTTGTTGAATGAGTAAAATAATAAGTTAAAACTCAAAATTTGTATTGTCTTAGCTTCAAATTCTCTGACCATCTTTTGCATACTTAACTCTATAAGCCATCTCACTGACCCACTACGTGACCCTACAAGGCATGGCTTGGGCAGCCTCAAAACTTATACTGCTATTAAGGAAAGATCTCACAGTGCCAGAAAGACTGGTAGCCAGCAACTGGCATCATACTCATATAAAAGAAACATTTTTGCTCAATATTTCACTAGACTGAACATTTAGACAATTTCTTAAGAGAAGTGAAAGTTTCATAATGCAATGAAGCAATCTGCCTATGTAGTGGCAGTAGAAAGACAAACAAAATATCTAGCAGTTCAAAAATATCTTCCTTATTAAATGGCCCAGATTTCCCACATGTTCACCAAATACCTACTGTTGTCTTTTGGAACTAACATTCCAAAGATTACAAAAGATTACACTTGAGAAATGATGAAATAGATACGGTGCATTCGAAATCATCTACAGATGATTTTGAATACAACATAAATACTAAATACTAAACTTCCCACAAGAGATTTTAGAAATACATTTCCCTAGCTCAAAAAAGCAAATGTTAAGTGTGTCTTTTTTAAAAAATAACCTGACCCATATGAAATGTACTGATGTGTGTCCCCTGCAAAGCCCCTTCCCACTGAAAACAAATGTCCCAAATAAAAGAGACATATAATATTTTAGAATTTACAGTTATGTTTTTCTACTTCAGAGTAAATCAGCAAGAGCAATTGCTAGGCCTATGCTGAGTCCAAACCCACCTCTCCACCTTTTGTTTTCCTGGAGAACACAGCAAATGCCATAGATCAAAGTCTGTTTTCTCTGAGCACATAGGGGGCTGGAAGGCTATACGCTCACTGCCACTGCATCAGATGGATAATGACAGATGTAATGTCTATAGCATCTCAGTAGATGAGGGATTTTTTTCGCTTTATCCTATGAGAATGGAGGACAGTGAATTAGTGCACTGCATGCACAGACTGCCAAGAGGAATATACCACCAGCCGGAGCAGCAAAAACAAACAATCCCAAATGCTTTTGTGGTTTACAAGTGGTCATTTTTCAAAGAGGTGCACGTGGATAGAAAGGAGAGGCTCCTGGCGAATGGAAGAAAACTAATGCTGTTTCACAACATTTCTGGGAAGACACTTCCATCAAATATTCATGGTAGCCTCTTGTCTATATGAGCCTGGTTGATAGAATAATAGTGCCGATTCACCTGGCACCAAATCTCAGCCCCCTTCCCATTCCCCAGCTAGTAAATCTTGGCTGTCAGTGATAGGAGCTGATGGGAAATGATAGCCTTATTGAGCTGCCTCATGAACTGTAACTCATTTGTTCTCAAGACCCAGACTGACAGCCCTTGCATTTCTCCCTTCCAGAAAAATTGAGCATAAATCACTTTATCATTTTTCCACATGACAGTTTATCAGAATTCTGGAATTCTATATGAAGTCATAGGGGCTGGTGACAGAAAATGAGACAAGTTCTATCCTGTAGCTGGGGAGGACTGCCCCTCCAAGGGCAGCAATGCCACCATAAAAATACCAATGAGATTCAACTAAATACAAATTCTCCCCCGTTTGAAAGACACAGCATTAGCTTTCTTTTCTCTAGAGTTTTCTTCATGAGAAAGAGGGGAAGAGTGAAGTTATGGAATACAATTATGCCCTTTTTCTAACAAGCAAGTGGAAAAAGTGGCCCAGTCCAATTCAGTGCTTCCACCGCCTAATTTCAGTGCCTGTGTCTTCTGAGAGTGAATGGTCAGAATGGCGAGGGCTGATATTGAGGCCATACCAGGTTTTCTCCAAAGTCGATTAAACTAACTTACCATAACCTGCCAGTTTGCCTTCCTTTCTTCAAAACATAGTTTACACGTGCACATACTGTGTTTCCCAACTAGGGATACAAAGACAGCTAGATGCCCTGACTGTTTAGAGGATCACAACTTCATGGATGTGTCGGGGGGAGCCAAGCAGGCCAGTTCACAAGGAAGATGGTTCCTATAGTGTGCTTGGGGTATATTAGTGCTTTGGAGACACAGAGGAGGAAGTGGTTGACTGTGGGGGAAGAAGCAGTCTGGAGAGACCTCTTAAGAGAGGTGACTGTGAAGCCAAATCTGGGAAGCTGATTCAGGGTTTCCACCAAGTAGACCAATGATCCTTGTTGGTGGCCATAGAGGCTGGAGATCTAGTCAGTTTATTTCATCCTCATTTTAATCTAAACATAAATCTTTCTCTATATGGTGGTTCACTCAAACTTTATAATTTTATTTTATTTATTTATTTGTTTAGATTTTTGAGTCAGGTCTTGCTCTGCTGCCCAGGCTGGAGTGCAGTGACACAATCACGGTTCACTGTAGCCTCTACCTTCCAGGCTCAAGTGATCCTCCCTCCTCAGCCTCCTGAGAAGCTGTGACTTATAGGCGCACACCACTATGACTGGCTAAAGCTTTATAATTTTAAATAGAGCTCTCTAAAAGCACTTAGTACTACCTAAGATTTAACATGCATACATTTGTACACTGAGGATCTATAAAAGCACACAACTGAACCTAGTTATGGAACAGAAAACACTGCACATGTGGCTTGACAATAACATATCAAGCCCATGTTGCCTGCCTGTGAGGGGCATTACAGATTAAACTGTCTTTCACTGCTTATAGTACTGTCATCAACTTTTAAACTTTGAAATTCCCTGACTTTCTGACCCAGAAAAAGGGGCCACCTGACCATTGCATGGTTGATTCTGAAGCATGGCAGTAAATGCAGCGCTTCCATGTACAAGGCATGTACACAATTGTGACACTTACAATATCTCCTTTTTGAAATTTGCTATTCTCACAGATCCCTATTCAAATTAAGAAGGGAGTTTAACAAAGTTTGTGTATTTCTAAAAGCCAAACAATGGCTTTTATTTCCCTTGTTTCCCAAAGTCTTCTTTCTGAACAACGATTCTGGCCTTTACAGATATATTTCAGTATCTGAAATATGTGAAATAACTATTTTTTCCTCTTTGTTTTTTGTTGTTGTTGCTGTTAGTGGTGGTGGAAATATCTCTTTACATAAGGATTTATGGAGTTTCCTATGTGTTATGTACAGATATTTAGATATATGAACACAATTATATATGTGTGTGTGTGTTACAAACACTTAGAAAATGTCAAAATTTAGATGTGAATCTCTGAGATGGCAGTATCTCCCATTTGCTGTTCTAATTAATTAAATCATTGGTTTAAATCAATACCTATAGGTCATATATTTTCCATAGATGTTATATCATCCCAAGGAGGAAAAATTGGCTCTTGAGGGGGTTAAAATATCTTATTTTATATGTATAAAGCACAGATATACATATAGCATATAATATATCTGTGGTTTCAACTATCATGGGAAAGGAAATTCTCACGGGACAATAATAGAAAACAAAAGATTAAGAACACTGGCATCAGACATTTGTAATGGTATCAATGGTGGTAATTATTTTAAAATACGTTTTGAATAATCTTGGTGACTGCTTTGGCTTTCATGGTTTTGTTTTGATTTGCAGTGGAGTGATAGTAGTTTCAGTCATTTTTCTGAAGAGAGTGGAAAATAAGGCATAAATAGAAAGTCTACATGTGGGAATCTGGCCAGAGATATTGCAACGAGTAAATAGAGAAGAGGGACCAAGAAAAATCAGTTATTCCATCAAACAAGCCCCTGGATGCAAAACAGTTGGCAGTTTCTGTTTCCCAAGCAACCTTTGCCTGTTACAGAGTGTCAGAATGGGCATCGCAATCCCACTGCAATCATATGCATTTTGTAAAATCTCTCTAGGAATTAGTCTCTCTAAAAATAGGCAATGAAGAAGTTATCTCATTCTAACTTATTGCCATTTTCACTCAATAAAGTTCCATTTACATGTCTATGGAGGTCATGCATATTAGCAAGACATGAGCAGTTCTAAAAGCATGTCTGAATCATGCTGAAAATTCCTGACACCCAAGTAACTGAAAGCTTGTAAGGAAGTGTGTGCATGTGTGTATGTGCGCGCGCGTGTGTGCACGTGTTGCTCTGTGTTAGAAAATGTATATGATGGTTTTAAAAGGTCCACCCATTGAGAGGTGGAGTATATGTCACCTCCTCTTGAACCTGAGAGTCTTTGTAACTGTTCTCAAGGAATACACGTGGTGGAAATAATACTGCATGATTACTGAAGCCAAGCAGGAAATACATTTCCACCATTTTTTTTTTTTGAAATATACATCTTCGTAGCTCTGAGCTACCATGCAAGAATACTATCTGAAGCTACCATGTTGGAGAAACCACATGGAGATACTGTAAAGAGATGGAAGGAGATACTGGATTGTTTCAGCCCCTGGCTATTTGCATCTTATGAGCCCAGTTACCAGACATGTGAGTGAGTGTGCCTTAGAAGACTGCAGGCCAAACCGTCCTCTGATAGCAACTACATGAAGGACTCAAGTGAGAACTCCCAAGCTGAACCCAGTCAACCTCCATAAGAGATAACAGTAAAATGATTGTTGTTATTGTAAATCACTAAATTTTGGAATTTGGGGATAGCTTGCTATACAGCAACATATGATAGGAACATGTGCTCATATGCACAAAGTGAGAATGATTCCATTATGACCACATATTTCTAGAGAAACTTTTCAAAATAACTTGAGCTATTTTCTCAAATATCATAGCATGAAAGAGGACTTTATTTTTTTAGTTGACAGAAAAATTCTCTATATTGTAAATTTCCTCAAGGAATTATTCCAGTAATTCATTTTCCTTAAAAATAATTGCACTTGGCAATTTACATTACATATTTGATCTCTTGGGTTGTTGCAGAATTTTGAAATATTTGTCTTTATTGCACAGCTCTTTCCTTTGAAATCTTTCTCATATTTTTCCCCTTGACTTTTTTATTGCCTCATTTCATCTACCTAAATTTAATGTCTCTTTATTCATCTTATTTTGATCATGTTATTTCAGCTCTGTCCCCGATGCTAATTCTTTCTAGCATCTTGCACTTTTTTAAGTACATTCAACTGATCACCCTGCCAGACTCCCCAGCAATTCAGGATAGGCCCAGGGACGTGAAAAGACCTGGCAGCAAGGGGAGCAGTAGCTGCTAGAGACCAGCACAGTAAACCAGTGTCTGTGTCACCAGTGCCAGCACCAACACAATAAAGTCCCCTGAAGTACTGCACCTGTTTACTGCCTCTTGAAGCCCCAGGGTTTCATTTCTTCATTTATTTATTCAGTCCTTCATTCCACAAGCCTATGAAAAACACCAACTACAAAGCCAAATACAGTCTTAGCACCAATGATACAAAGAAAATTAAAATATGACCCCAGTCTTGGAAAGATTCCATCTGGAGAGAGCCAACCACACTGATGTTGATAGAACTGAGTGGCTAGCCACAACAGAAGTATGCACAAAGTGCCATGGGAACACAGAGGAGAGACTTCTCACATCAGCCTAGGGAGGTTGAAGAAGTTATCTCAGCCAATGCAGCAATGGAACTAATAAATAAATAATGGAAATTCAAAAAGAAAAAATATGGGCCAGGCGCAGTGGCTCACGCCAGTAATCCCAGGCCTTTGGGAGGCTGAGGCAGGTGAATCATATGAGGTCAGGAGTTCAAGACCAGCCTGACCAAAACAGTGAAACCTCGTCTCTACTAAAAATAGAAAAAAAAAAAAAAATTAGCCAGGAGTGGTGGTGGGCACCCGT
Organism: Homo sapiens; assembly: GCF_000001405.40. Classification (NCBI taxonomy): domain Eukaryota; kingdom Metazoa; phylum Chordata; class Mammalia; order Primates; family Hominidae; genus Homo; species Homo sapiens. Next base: position 124,429,176 of record NC_000006.12, on the reverse strand, counting down.
GATCCCAGCTACTCCAGAGGCTGAGGCAGGAGAACTGCTTGAACCCAACAGGCAGAGGTTGCAGTGAGCAGAGATCCCACCATTGCACTCCAGCCTGGGTAACGAGTGAAATTCTATCTCAAAACATAAAAAAAAGAGTAAAAGTATGAGTTCACATGCATGAGAACAAATGGATATCAACATTCATATTCAGAAAACAGAAAGTAGCTAGTTCTGCTGGAACTGCAGATACAGCCATGTCCCGTGAGAACAAGAAAGCAAGGGGCTGGGTGATTTAAAACCCTGCTATGCATATTCTTTACCCCTCTTATACACACCCCACATCAGCACACGGGCACACACATGCATACTTAGAGATGCACATACCTTTAGTCTTGAAGTGTCAGTGTTCAAATTAATTTGGTAATATCAGAGAATCAAGTTACAAAATCCTGTATTTAATCTTGGAAAAGACATATCTCCTTCTTGCTATCTTTTCCAGAGAAAAGATATTGTCCCTAGCCTTAAATATTTCCTCAGGTTCTCTGAGAATAGCTTCTGAATGATTAACTCACCCTACACTTATGAAGGATTTCCTAATATTTTGCTTCTGTTTTTTCCTGCTGTAGCTTTTACTTAGGCTGCCCTCACTGACAAATGAGAATCATCAACTTCTAACTTATTTATAACATCCCTTTATATATTTGCAGGAGAGCTCAGGGAGCAATTCAAACAGAAATGCAGCTGCTTTCAGTTCCACTAAATAAAAAACCAAGTATACTTAGTTTGGTCTCTCAGATATGGCATCTCAGCCCAGAGATATTGTTAACAAAGTGTCGTATATAGTATGGAAGAATCCTAGTTATTTCCAGCAATCTGGGGTTGGGGTGAAACATGTCTCCAGCTCTTCGGTGGTATTTTCTATTTTGTAAGAAGTACTCATTCCATGAAAAGCTATGTTTAAAAACTCAGTTTATGGTACTTAGGAGATGGAAGGAGTGAAAGGAATTCCAGAATGAAAGATTTTTAAAAACAACAAAATTTCTGAGTAGTGACTAGCAATTGAAAACCTGCTGGATCTATTTTTTTAGTTATTCATGGAGATATAGAGGAGATATTCTGCTGAGCTAAAGAGCACTATAGTGACATAGAACCCAGACCAAAAGGAAATGAGCAAATATGGAAAATGTCTTTGGAAGTGTTAGAAAAATCTGTCTTTGACATTCCATTTTCTTGAAGTAAAACTTAAGTAATACTTAATTTTAAGTATTTTATTTTAAATAATTTTTAAAATAAATTGTTAGATTGCCAACATGTAGCTGTGCCAAATACAAAGATTTTGTAGCCCCGAACGACCTATTTCCGTGGTTTCGTGACACTGAAAGAAGAAATAGACTTCCATCACATCAGGGAAATATGTGGTCTATAAGACCAGTGAGGAACCTGCTGCCTCTTCCTATATATTAAGCGTAGCTAATAACTAATTCTTAGATCGTATTTCAGGCACCTCTAAGGGGTTTACAGAGATTAACTCATTTAATACTAAAGCAAGATTAACAAGCTATGTAGTTGATACTATTCTTTATCCAAATTATTCAAGAAAACAGGGACACATAGATTCAATGATTTGCTGAAAAGTCCTGGTTAAGTGGCATAAGAGAATGAGATTCTCCTGGAAGCTGTTTTACATTTTACAAAGAATTTACTGAGGTATAATTAACATATAATATTTCTTATATTTAAAGTATACCATTTAAGTTTGGGCTTATGCATACAAGTATGAAATCATCACCATAATCAAGATGATGATTAGGATGATGGTGATTATTTTGGGATTTATCCATGTTGTATATATCAGTAGTTCTTTCTTTACATTGCTGAATATCATTGAATGGTATGGATACATCACAATTTATCTGTTCATTTGTTGATGAACATTTGGTCATTTTTCATATTTGGCTATTACAAATAAACTGTTATGAACATTCATGTACAATTTATTATATTGTCATACACTTTTATTTTCTCTTGGGCAAATACCTAGGAGTAGAACATCCAAGATATGTGTTATAACATAAGTGCATATTTAACTTTTAAAGAAATGAATTGCTTTCCAAAATGGTTGTAATATTTTATAATCTCACCAGAGTGTATGTGTATTAGTCCATTTCCAGGCTCCTGATAAAGACATGCCTGAGACTGGGCAATTTATACAAGAAAGAGGTTTAATGGACTCACAGTTCTACATGGCTGGGGAGGCCTCATAATCATGGTGGAAGGTGAAAGGTACATCTCACATGGCAGCAGAGAAGAGAAGAGAGCTAGTTCAGGGAAACTCCCCTTTATAAAACCATCAGATCTCGTGAGACTTACTCACTATCATGAGAATGGCATGGGAAAGACCCACTGCCATGATTCAATTATCTCCCACCGAGTCGCTCCCAGAACATGTGGGAATTATGGGAGCTATAATTCAAGATGAGATTTGGGTGGGGACACAGACAAACCATATCAGTATGCTTGTTCTTCTATATCCTTATCAACACTTGGTGTGCTACTTCAAAAAATATTTTAGCCATGTACATTGGTACCTCATTGTGATTTTAACTGCACTTTCTTAATGACTAATTCAGGTACTTATTTTCGATCTGTCTATCTTCTTTGGCAAAAGGTCTGTTTAAATCATTTATCTCTGTTTTATTTTTTCTTTAATTCTTAACTTTTGAGGGTTCTTTACTTATTCTGGATACAAGTAACTTACCAGATACATGATTGGAAAATATTTTCTCCTATCCTGTGGATTTTATTTTCATTCTCTTAATAGTTTCTTTTGAAGAACAGAAGTTTTAGTATCAGTAAAGTCAGTTTTATCATTTTTTAAGTGTGGATCATGTTTTTAGTGTCTTATCAAAAAATGTTTTCCTCATTTAAAATCACAAAGATTTTCTTCCACTGGAAAAGTACAGTAGCTCTCTGCATTTCACAAGTAGGGACATAGACTACACCTTTCCGTAGAAGAAATATAAAGTCATATTATAAGAATGGCAAGTGAGATGGGAGTTACTGTTGCAACAATCTTTGGAAAATACAATCAGCTACATATTCCAAGGGAGAAGACAGTATTAAGGAGAAAGATAAAGGTCATAAGTGTTTATTACTACAAAGAGTCTAGGTTACATGAACATTGAAGATAAAGGCCAGTAGTTTGCTATTAAGGATTTATTGGCACTTTTGGCTTGAGCAATTTGTCTTGTTAAACGAGTATGCATATGTAAATAAAAATAATACAAGTAAAAATCTTAAGAGGTAAGAAGGCAAAAAAATCATATTGTGAATAAGTCAACAGTCTTTACAATAAGGGTTCTCATTCCTCAATATACCCTCCAACACTTGTTATTTTTTCTCTTTTTGGTAATAACCACATTAACAGATATTAGCTCATAACTCATTGTGCTTTTAATTTGCATTTTACTGGTGATGAATGACCTTGAACACTTTTTCACATACCTATTGACCATTGGTAGGTACGTCTTCTTTGGAGAAAGGTCTGTTCAGGTCCTTTGCCAATTTTTAAATTAGGCTATTATTTATTTTTTTGCTACTGTGTTGTATAAATTCCTCATATATTTTAAATATTAAACCCCTATCAGATATAGAGTTTGCAAATACTTCATCCCAGTCGGTAGTTTGCCATTTCATTATTGATACTTTCCTTTGCTGTGTAGAAACTTCATTTTGGTGTAGCCCTACTTATTTATTTTTGTTTTTGTTGCTTTTGTTTGGTCACTGCCAAGACCAATATCATGGAAATTTTCCCTACATTTTCTTCTAGGAGTGTTAAGATTTCAGGTCTTATATTTAAGTCTTTAACCCATTTCGAATTGATTATTGTGTATATCATAAGATACATGTCTAATTTCATTTCCTGCATGTGGATATCCGGTTTTCCCAACACTCTTTATTGAAAGACTTATCTTTTTCTTCAATGTTCATGTAACCTAGGCTGTCTGTGGTAATAAACACTTATGACTTTATCTCTCTTCTTAAAACTGTCTTCTCCCTTGAAATATGTGGCAGATTGGATTTTCCAAAGATTGTTGCAACGATCTTTTTCTTGGTGCCCTGGTTGAAAATTAGCTGGCCATATATGTATAGATTTATTTCTGGGCTCTCTACTCTGGGAATGTTAATTGGTATAGCCATAGGGAAAACTGTTTGGAGGTTCCTCAAAAAATTAAAAATAGAACTACCATTGATCCAGCAATCCTTCTTCTGGGTATATATTCAAAGGAAAAGAAACCAATATCTTGAAGAGTTATCTGTATCCTCATGTTCATTGCAGTATTATTCACAATAGCCAAGATAAGGAAATAAGCTGTGTGCATCATAGATGAACATATAGACATATAGAAAACAAAGTGTTAATCAGCCTTAAAAAGAAGGAAATCCTACCATTTATGACAATACGGATAAACCTGGTGGGGGGGTCATTATGCTAAGTAAAATAAGTCAGACAAAAAGAAAAACATTGCATGATCTCACTTAAATGTTGAATCTAAAAAAGAAAATAATAATGAATAGAAGCAGAGAGTAGAATGATGGTTACTAGGGGTCCAGTCATGGTTCAGGGGTTGGAGTGAGGAAAATGAGATGTTGGTTAAAGGGTATAAAAGTTCATTTATGTAGGATGAAGAAGTTCTAGAGTTCTAATGTACAGCATGATGACTACAGTTAATACTGTGTTGTATGTTTGAAACTTGCTAAGATGGTAGATATTAAGTGTACTTATCACACACACACACATACACACACACAGTAGTAACTATGTAATGAGCTGAATATGTTAATTGGTTTTATTGGAGTGATCAGTTCATTGTATATGTGTATCAAAACAGCACATTATACCCCTTTAGACAATTTTTATTCAAAGTTAAATTAAGCACTTTGGGAGGCCGAGCAGACGGATCATGAGGTCAGGAGATGGAGACCATCCTGGCTAACACTGTGAAACCCCGTCTCTACTAAAAATACAAAAAATTAGCTGGGCATGGTGGCGGGCACCTGTAGTCACAGCTACTCAGGAGGCTGAGACAGGAGAACGGCGTGAACCCGGGAGGCAGAGCTTGCAGTGAGCCGAGAATGCGCCACTGAACTCCAGCCTGGGCAACAGAGCCAGACTCTTGTCTCAAAAAAATAAAAAAGTTAAATTAAAAGTGTTTACAACAGTATAATATGTATTACATACTGCCTTAGTCTATTCGTGCTGCTTTAAGGAAACACTTGAGACTGGATAACTTATAAAGAACAAAAAAATTATTTGTCACAGTTTTAAAGGCTAGGACAGGAAAGGAAGTCAGTATCTCAAAGAGACATCTGCCCAGGCACTAGCAGATTCAGTGTCTGGTGAGTGCTGCCCTCTGCTTCAAAGATCACATCCTGTTGCTTCATCCCCTGAAAGGGATGAATGCTGTGCTCCTACAAGGTGGAAGGAAAGGAACCCACTCTTTCAAATCCTTTTATAAGGGCCATAATCCCATCCATGAGGGCTCTGCCCCCTCATGAATTAATCACCTTCTAAAGTTTCCACCACTTAATAGTATCATGTTGGCTATTAAGTTTCAACATATGCATTTGGGGTTCCACATTCAGACCACAACACTGTTTAATTTTTTATTTGTTTTGATTGTAGTGTCAAAATTAACATCACCTTTTGGGTCCCTATATTGGGCTAGAAACATAAATATGTGCTCCTTTGAAAACCTGATGAGGTAGGTATTATTATGTACATTTTACATATGGAGAACATAAATCTCACAAAGGTAAGATGTATTGATCAAACTTACATGTCTAACAATTACATTCACTTCAGAGTCTAGGTCTTTCTGACTCCAAAGCCCTTGCTTTTCTCACTGTGCTTCATTGGCTGTAAGATCAATGCTTGTATATTCTTCTTTATTATTTCTTAATTAATAGTAATAGTTCATATGACACTCAATGATTTTGGTCACTAAAATATGAAAAAATAGAAAATTCAATTTCCAGCACTGGTACATCACTTTGAGAACTCACAGGAAAGAGCACAGGTGTGCATTTGTATTTGACAATCAATATCAGCAACAGAAATGTTTAAACTATTTAGATGTGAAATGCAGTTAAATTCAATGATTTTTCTTGACTAGCTTGCAAAAATGTATGTGTTTTCCTATTTTTATCTCGGGAATTAGTTCTTATTTTGAAAATAATTTTCTTTTGTATGTCATGAAGTTGAGGGTTTGGAGATTTACTCAACCATTTATAATAAGATCCTGAGGAACTCATCGCAAATACTGTAACAGTCCCCAAACACATACTATCTGTTGGAAAGGTCAGAACCTCACAGTGATTTTCACTGAACCTTAAAAGACAAACAACTTCAGCACAGCACTGCTGCATCTTGGCTCAATGCAATTCTAACCCTGTTGAGAATAGTAAAATAAAGAGGATATGTGATCCAGATTGCAAGTAAGCTGCTTTTATTGCTGTTTTTTGTAATTGTTGTTTTGTTGTTTTGTTTTTCTTTTCAGGCAAAGGCCAAAGACAAAATCCATTTAATTCATTAGTTAGGCATGAATAATCTATTAAGCCAAATTTGAGTGTGGTAATCTCACTTGTAAATTTAGAACAAAGATGGAAAAAAAAAGATAAAAATACTAATCTTTCTGAGATAGTACACAGTAATAATTTGAACAAAGATAATAGGATTAATAGCCAAAGACGCTAACAATGGTTAGGGCATGCAGGCAATGGGATATAAAAATATCCAAGTTGTTTCAAAACTCAATCTTTCTTTAGAAATGTATTCCAAGTTTTTTATTGTTCTTCTGCTTGGCCTTTAAAAGTATGGGAATTATTTGCTATTGTCTTTTCAATTTGGTAACTTACTTAAGAGATCCCACAAAGAAGGCAATTATCAGTATGTCTAATTCAGTTGCCATTATATAAAAAGTTCAATTGAAATGAGTATCTTGGGCCAAATAACAGAACTGACATATACTAAATTAAAAATAAATCACATTAATATTATTTAATATTTTATACCATAAACTATTTAATACCTCTCAAATTATACTTTTATTTTTTCTGTCATTCTATAAGCAATTTCATTTGCATCTTGCTTCATCCTCCCTCCTAATTCAATTATTCATTTGTTTAAAATAATTTCCTACTGAAGGGGACCAGAATATGTCACCCCAAAATACGCCACTTTGGCAAATTAACTATTTTGAACAGAAGGCAATTGAGAAACAGCAGATGCGAGAAGGGCTCTCTGACCTCTCCCTTTCTTCCTAAAATCACGCCGGACATACGTTTCCCGCGAGAAAGAACCCTTCCCTGCAGGAAGAGGAGAACACTCATCTCTGGAAATGTGAGTCAATTTGAAAATGAATCTGTACAAACCTTAATAAAATAACCCTTACCTTCTATTAGTTTTCCTCATATGCTTCCTAGTCACTTTCCCACCATTTGCTACCCTTATTGTGAACTCACACTGCATTTCCACAGCACATCATTAACCCTCATGTGAGTTACAACATGGAATCACAAGTGATTATCTTTGCTAGTACAAAACAAAAAAAAGATAGTAATAGTGACTTATTTACTGTAGAACCTATTAAAATGTTATAGTTAAGTCCTTGTCAGAGTTACTGTAATAAACCAAGTTTGATTCAACACAAAAGTTTTAGTTGAACATTTCTGCTGTGCGTGGATGGTATCCAAAGAAGTGCCCTAATAGAAATGCTTTCATATGGATAGGTTCTGGGTAACTGAGACGTCATCTCCACGTGTAATCACTACTAATTCCTTACTTGGAGGTTAATACACACCACTTTTTGGAAGTATAAACCATCTTTCATCTTAACCTTTTGAGAGGAGTTAAAAGAGTTAATATTCTTTTGGTCATGATTTTGGTTACCAGTTACAGTGAGGGTCCCCATGAGTAAAGCACACGAATAGCAGTGGGGAGAAGTGGAAAAAACCCTACTTTCTAGAGAGAAAACCAAGATGAATTAATCACTCAGGATATTTCTTCAAGGACAATGGGTCCAACTGAGAGAAAACATGTTTTTTTTTTTTTTTTTTTTAATTTTGACAGTGCCAGCTATTATATGATCCCCTGAATTTTCTTGAAAAGCTACTTCGTGGCTAAACTTCTAATGAGAAATGAGTACAGGAAGTGCATTTTATATCACGTATGCATGTGGTGAAATATTTATTGCAGCCATCTACTTTTTTTCTAGTACAAATTCTACTCATAACAACAAATGCTACTCGTCCTAGTGAGTGAGTAGAATTTGTAGTGATAATTTTATCCTGAGTATTAAAAAATAATTATATCTTATGGAAAGGAAGATAAAGCTATACAAAAGCAGAATAAACAATATAAAATAATCCATAGACAAACACAACCTCATCCTTTGACCAGACTCTTTGGATGTCTTTGATGTGACCCCGCAAAGCAAATGGATTAGCAACAGTTGGCCAATCTCAAACAATCTGGGATAATGTTGGAACATTCAAAGAGAAAATGCTTGGCATATAGTCAACTGTTAATCGTTTTACTGTGCAGATAATGAGCTTCTACATATGGTTCCTTTAACAATTTTAACACTGAGAAGCCTATTTTTTGCTTTCTTAAAAAAGAAATCACCCTATAGCTTTATGCTTTTCTTTGTGATTATACTTAATTCTTCGGTATTTGTACGCAGGTAGTGTGAGTAATTTTAGGCTCTACCTACACATAACAAAAAACTCATTTTGTTTAACCTACCTTCACTTCACTTCTTTCTAGTAATTTTCATTTGAAAAGTAAATGTGTTACCTTATCTGCACTTTGATGGGCAAATGTCTCTAAAAGACTGTGTTTCTAGGCAACAATACAGAGAGTAAGGCCAAGACAAAGGAAATGGTTTCCTACTTCAAGTGTCAGAACAAAAGGGAGTCCTTCATAATGCATTAATGCCCACAGAAAAGAATATTTGATTTTTCATAAGCTGTCATCAAAAGCCTGTCTTTTAAGTAACTATTTTTCTGAAGTTATTGTTTGATTTTTCTTTTCCATTTTTAAAGAGTATATAACCAAGTTTAATGATCTTTAACTCACCCTGGCTAACTTAACAGTATATTTTTTCTAATTCTTCTTAATCAGTTCCTCTCCTCCCTATATGAACAGTCTATTCAAATGATCATATTCCAGGATATTCCGGGAAAAAAAAGGAAGAAATCTTGCTGACAAGACAGACAGTGTGCAAAATTTTCATACTGTCAGCAGTGCTTCAGAATCTTGTATTTGTAGTTAAAGATATTATAACTACAAAGACATCACAATTAAGGTCACTTTTTTTGTTCCTCTCCTTAGTAAGAGCGACTTCTAAAAACTCATCCATGACATATAAAAAAGAAAGTATTACTAGATCTGAAAAATAATTCAGAAAGGAACAAAGAGGGAATGTAGACTACTATTTGCAATAAAATATTATCTTATGTCTTCTATTGTTTCTCAATGAATGGGTCATTTCAGGACTATGAACTTGTTGCTTTCTAAGTAGCAGTAAGAGTTAATTTGGATCATAGAAAGATAGAAATATCCTCACACACACTGTATATGCATTTTTCTGGTGTGAAATTTGGAATTCAGCAGCCTCCTTCTTAGGTAACTAAGTGTCTGCAATGTTCCTATTCCCTAGCAGCAGAGCACCTTGGTTATGAATCCCACCAAACTACAAGGAACGAAGTCCTTTAGCTATTGAGTTTCATTTCTCACTGGAATTTTGGAAAACTTGTCATGACAGATCTGGTGTTAGACATGTTTGATACTATGGCAGGTGATCAGATGAGACTTCAGAGTCACTGTTTCTTCACCAGCAGTGCTTCTAGACCATGAGATTAATAGAGGTTACTTTGCAAATAACACAGAGAAGTGAAGCTTGGGGTAAGGAGAAAGAGAAACAAGACTAGAGAAGAATAAAGTAGATTCAAAAAGAAAAGATGAAGAGGGAGAGAGAGAAAGTGAAAGAAGATTCCTCTATGAGGCCCAGATGCTTAGAAGTGGAGGCAAATTAATTTTCTCTCAGTTTGAGAAAAAACAACAACATTAAAACAGGCAGAGTAAATGCAAATCACAGAATGGGAAGCAGACACTCAGACAATGGATAGTCATTTTAGAGAGAATCATTACCCTTCTTAGGCCAAAAATATTAAAGAATTTTGCAAAGCATGTAAGAAAGATGTAAAGTCCCCTGAGAAACCATTTGATATAGACTGTGTGTAATGAGAATCATTCGCATATGCAAAAGATTGAACACTAGTAAAAGAACCAAATCAAATGATCCGTTATTCCAGTCAGGACAGAACAGGATAAGAGTGCTAACAGGACATCAACAATCAGTACTGGAAAAACACATTGTTAGGGAGAGTTCAAAGAAACACAATACCTCATTATCTTGGACACAAGGTGTAAGAAATCATTTCAGCTTCCAAATGAGGAGAAAGCACAGTAATGGCATGCACTACGTGATAGTTCTAGTTTGTTGTATACGATTTGCTCAAGTTAACTGTATAGTTTTATATATATAGTTTATAGATATTATATATATATTTTATATATATAATATATAATCCCTTTTGTTTATAAAGTATATATATCATATATAAACTATATATATAAATAAACTATATATATATACTATATAAACTATATGTATAGTTCCCATTTCAGAATAAGGGTTCAGTTATTCTAACAAAATGCTCCGTAATCTTCAGAGTCCAATGCTGCAGGGATCTGAAAATCATCTTGGAAGACCCGACCTATGTCATACAACAAAATATTATTTTGTGTTCAGAACAAGAAAGCTAGACAAATCATTCCTTTATAAAATATTGTCTTAGCCTGGCTTTAAACTGGTTTGTTACAAGTTACTCTGAACTTTTAAGTACCCTGAGTTACATGGAACACACACCATACAAACACACACACACACAGACACACACACACACACACAGTCCACACAGGGACATTGTTCATAACATTTTTTTTGGCCAGGAATGAAAGCGAAGCTGAAATATATTTAATGCCTAATAAGTCTCTCAAGCTGCTGAACTTTTATATTATTGTATATGCAAACCTGGGTCATAATAAGCAAGCAATTAACTACCTTGTTCAGTGTGACACAGTTAAGAATGGGGAATGGAAGAATTTCAACCCTGTCTATCTGATTCTGAATCTCATTCCCTTTAACTATAACTTTATATTTCACCATAAAAAAGAGGAAATTCTGGCTATTGTCCACCAGGATGTCTTGTAATTCCTTGATACCTACTGGACAGCATTAGAAGAGAAAGTAAAATAGAGAATGTGAAAGAGACCCTGGAATTTTCACTTGACAACTCCAGGCTGAAGAAAGCCTGAGACAGAGGAAACAGCATTGTTCACTTTGGCCACCATCACGTTCAAAATATGCCTATGAGTTCTACAAAGAGTGTTCTGAAGACAAAGTCACAAAACATAGAGTAGAAGGGCTCAGATACAAAGATTTTTAATCTCAATTATGGTATTAGGACGTTTGGTCTACAACACGTATACTATTTTTAGGGAAAGAATACTTTATTTAGAACCAAAGTAAAAATATCAAAATGCTTTAAAGTTAATAAATAAATAAATAAATAAATAAGCAAGATTAGCAGAAAATGATAATATGTGTAAATATTTTTTACATATTACAGTCTATTTCTCTCTGTTGTTCAGAGGGGTTAATTTCTATTGTTTTATCTTCAACTACACTTATTCTTCCTTCTGTTTTCTCTATTCTGCTTTTGAGTCCATCCACTGAGTGTTTAAATGTATTTTTTCATTCTGAAATTTCCATTTGATTCTCTATATTCTATATCTTTGTTAAGACTTTCAGATTTTGTTGAAACTTTCTGTTTTCTATTTGTTTCAGATGTGTCCGTAATTGCTTGTTAAAGCACTTTGTCATGGATATTTTAAAATCTTTGTCAAATCATTTAACAGCTGTCCTCTCAGTATGCCATCTATTTATCATCTTTTCTCATACATTTTGATGTCTGCCTAATTCTTAATATGCTAAGTGATTTCTTTAATTGAAAACAAGATTATTTGGTATTATGTTATAAGATTCTGGACCTCGTTTATTTGTGGGTTTCAGCAGGCCTTCTCTGACACTGCTCCACTGGGGGAAGCATGCATGAAACCATTTCATTGCTGCTAAGTGGGAGTAAAAGTGCAGTATCTCCACTTGCCCTATGCTGAAATCCTGGTCTGTAGAGGGGAGGGTTCCTTATAACTGATGGATGAGGGTGGAGTTCAGGCTCCCCACTAGATCTCTACTGATACCACCTTGGCTGGACAGGAAGAGTACCCCATTACTGCTCCCCATGTTCCCCTATTCACACAGGGGCAGGAGAAGGGGTGTTGCCTCTTCACTGCTGAGTGGTGATGAATGTCATGACTCTTCACTATATCTCCTCTGACACTACTTTATTTTCATTATTTGTTTGTTTGTTTTGAGAGTCTTGCTTTGTCACCCAGGCTAGAGTGCAGTGGCACTATCCTGGATCATCACAACCTCAATCTTCTGGGCTCAAGCAGTCCTCTGGCCACAGCCTACCAAGCAGCCGGGACTACAGGTGCATGCCATCACGCTTGGCTAATTTTTATTTTTATTTTTGTAAAGACAGGGTTTTGCTATGTTGCCCAGGCTGGTCTCAGACTCCTGAGTTTGTGCCTTGGCCTCCTCCCAAAGTGCTACAATTACAGGTATGGGCCACCATAGCTGGCCTGATACCACTTTAATAAGGTGCTACTGAATTCCAAATTTTATGCCAGAAAAATGCACATATAACTTAGGTGAGGAGATTTCTCTTTGTTTTTATGATCCAGATAAACTGTTATTGTTACCCAGTTTAAATTATTTGAAGTACAAAGAAAATCCAGGCTACTCAATGCCATGCTGGCCATGCAATTCTTTGGGAATACAGGTGGTCACCTCTTCTCTTGGCCTTTCAGGGTTTTCTTATGCTTGTTTGTATTATGTCCAGAGGTCTTAGTTATCCTTAGTGGGAGAAATAGAAAAAATTGTTGTCTATCTTTCCAGAAGGAGAAACGCTGTGCAATAAACTTAAATTTTAAAAAAAATGAACAGAGGCTCAGGGACATGCAGGACTATAACCAAAGATCAAATATTTGTGTTGTTGGAGTCACAGAGGAGAAGATAAGACTTTAACATTCTGTGATGAGAAATTAGCAAAAAAAAAAAAAAAAAGCAAATAAAAAAAGCAAATTAAAAAAAAAAGCAAATAAAAATCAATGAAACCTATGCTATTGTTAAAATACATAGTTGGTTTGACCCCATTTCCAGGCCTATAACTCCTAAAGTCCTTAGAGTCTCTAAAGTGATGGGTTTTTGTATGCTCATGAGTTGACTGATGGTTGACACCTCCTAGGTAGCTTCAGGATGAAGGCTGGTTACCAGAAAGACCAAGGAAGGAATAGAGGATTGAGACTTTCAGTCTCACCCTCCAATCATCTAGGAGAAATAGGGGATGAAGGTAAAATTGATTCTCAATGGCCATTGGTTTAATCAATCATGCCCACATAATGAAGCCTCCATAAAAACACAGAAGGACAGGATTCACAGAGCTTCTGGATACTTCTGGATAGCTGAACGCATGTGGGTTCCTGGAGGGTGGCATAGCCAGGATGGCTTGGAAGCTCCACACTCCATCCCCCATGCCTCGCCTTATCCATCTCTTTATCTGTATCCTTTGTAATATAGTTTATAATGAGTTGTTGAATGAAAGTAAGTGTGGTCCTGAGTTCTCTGAACCATTCTAGAAAATTAGTCAACTTCAAGAAGGGGAGAGTGGGATCCCCAATTTGTAGTCAGTTGGTCAGAAGCACAGACAAAACCACCAGGAGCTTGCTATTAGCATCTGAATTGAGGGCAGTCTTATGAGACTGAGACCTAAATCTGTGGAATCTGATGCTATCTGCAGGTGGATAGTGTCTGGATTGAACTAAATTAAATGATACCCAGCTGTTGTCTGCTGCAGAATGCATTACTTTCCTGTTGGTGGAGAGAAATCCCCAAATATTTGCTCACAGAAGTCTTCTGTGTTGACTATTGTTGAGTGAGACGATAGAAAAAGCAATTTGAGTTTTTTTTTTCACTCAAAACCTCAAGATGATTCTTTTTTAAAGCTGATTCTTAGAGAGGATCAATAATATTATAAATATTCAGTCAGATTAATTATGAATCATAATTTAAAATTAGCAAGTTAACAATATCAGAAATAAGAGGGTAGCTTCACTGGAAATCCTACTGCTATTAAAATGATATAAACAACTTGGGACTAACATATTCAATACTTATTAAATAAATCAAATGTGCAAATTCCTTGAAAGATACAAACTATCAAAACTCAGTTAAGAAGAAATAGAAAACCAAATAAACCTATATCTATAAAGAAATTGAAATTGTAGTTAAAAATTTTCCCAAAAATAAACTCCAAGTCCAAATGGCTTCACTGGTGATTTATAACAAATATTTAGCAAAAGCAAAATACCAATCCCATAAACAGTCTTACAGAAAATTTAAGTGGAAGGACTATCTCCCAATTCCTTCTATGAGGCCAGCATTGTCCTCCTATCAAGATTGGACAAGAAATACAAGTAACGAAAATTATAGACCAATATCTCTCATGAACATAGATATAGCAATTCTAAACAAAATTTTAGCAAATAGAATCCAACATTATATAAGATGGATAATATTCTAAGAATACAGTAGCAAGCATCTGTTTAAAATTCAAAAGTCAATATAATTCATGATATTATCAAACTAAAATGTGATCATCTTAATAAGTGAAGAAAAAACATTTTATAAAAATCTATTCACACATTTCCGATAAAAACTGTTGACAAAGAAGAAACAGAAGGAAACTTCTTCAATGTAATAAAGAGCATTTACCAAAAATTTACAGCTAACATTCTATTTAATGGTAAAACCCTGAATGTGTTCCCTCTAAGATCAGGAAGAAGACAAGGATATCTACTCTCAGCATTCTTATTCAGCATTGTACTGAGGTTCTAATTAGTGCAATGTAATTAAAAAAAAAAACAAACGAACAAAGTATTCAGGTTCAACAGAAAAAAGTAAAACTATCTTTTTGAGACAACATGATTATCTATGTAGAAAATCCCATAGATCTACAAAAAGTGCTTCTGGATCTAATAAATGAGTTTAGTATGTTCATAAATTACAATGTCAATATAAAAATCAGCTGAATTACTATATATTAGCAATACACAATCATATATGGAAATAAAAATACCATTTCCAGTATGATCAAAAATATGAAATATTTAGGGGTAAATTCAACAAATGATCTGAAAGATATGTATATTTTCCATTGCTGAGAAAAATTGAAGATGACAAAGTAAGTGGAGCAATATATCACCTTTATAGTCCAGAACACTTAATATTATTAGAATGTCAGTTCCCCCAAACTTTACTGATAGCTTTAGTGCAATCCCTATCCCAATCCCAGCAAGATATTTTGAGACACTGACTATTTTATTCTGAAATTTGTATGGAAACACAAAACTTTGAAAAGCACCAAAACATCTTTGAAAAAGAACAAAATTGGAGGACAAATACCATCTGATTTCAATAAAAAGTTACAGAAATCAATACAGCGTGGTATTGATATAAAGATATATCAGTGAGATCAAATAGACCTACACATATATAGACAATGGACTTTAGACAAAGGCACAGAGGAGTGAAGAAAGAACAGGCTTTTCAATAAACGGTGCCACAACAATTGAAAATCTGCATACTTAAAAGAATGAACGTCAATTCTTAAACAAAAAGAGCGACGCAGAAGACAGGTGATTTCTGCATTTCCAACTGAGGTACTGGGTTCATCTCACTGGGGAGTGCCGGACAGTGGCTGCAGGACATGGGGTGCAGCTCACCGTGTGTGAGCCGAAGCAGGGTGAGGCATCACCTCACCCGGGAAGTGCAAGGGGTCAGGGAATTCCCTTTCCTAGTCAAAGAAAGGGGTGACAGACAGCACCTGGAAAATCGGGTCACTCCCACTTTAATACTGCACTTTTCCAACGGGCTTAACAAACGGCACACCAGGAGATTATCTCCTGCACCTGGCTCGGAGGGTCCTACGCCCATGGAGCCTTGCTCATTGCTAACACAACAGTCTCAGATCAAGCTGCAAGGTGACAGGGAGGCTCGGGGAGGGGCGCCCGCCATTGCCCAGGCTTGAGTAGGTAAACAAAGCAGCCAGGAAGCTCGAACTGGGTGGAGCCCACCACAGATCAAGGAGGCCTGCCTGCCTAGGTAGGCTCCACCTCTGGGGGCAGGGCACAGACAAACAAAAGACAGCAGTAACCTCTGCAGACTTAAATGTCCCTGTCTGACAGCTTTGAAGAGAGTAGTGGTTCTCCCAGCACGCAGCTTGAGATCTGAGAATGGGCAGACTGCCTCCTCAAGTGGGTCCCCGACCCCTGAGTAGCCTAACTGGGAGGCACCCCTCAGTAGGGGCAGACTGACACCTCGCACGGCCGGGTACTCCTCTGAGACAAAACTTCCAGAGGAACAATCAGGCAGCAGCATTTGCGGTTCACCAATATCCGCTGTTCTGCAGCCACCACTGCTGATACCCAGGCAAACAGGGTCTAGAGTGGACCTCCAGCAAACTCCAACAGACCTGCAGCTGAGAGTCCTGACTGTCAGACGGAAAACTAACAAACAGAAAGGACATCCACACCAAACCCATCTGTACGTCACCATCATCAAAGACCAAAAGTAGATAAAACCACAAAGATGGGGAAAAAACAGAGCAGAAAAACCAGAAACTCTAAAATTCACAGCACATCTCCTCCTCCAAAAGAACAGCTCCTCACCAGCAATGGAACAAAGCTGGACGGAGACTGACTTTGAGGAGTTGAGAGAAGGCTTCAGAAGATCGAACTACTCCGAGCTAAAGGAGGAAGTTCAAACCAATGGCAAAGAAGTTAAAAACTTTGAAAAAAAATTAGATGAACGGATAAATAGAATAACCAATGCAGAGAAGTCCTTAAAGGACCTGATGGAGCTGAAAACCACGGCACGAGAACCACGTGATGAATGCACAAGCCTCAGTAACCAATGTAATCAACTGGAAGAAAGGGTATCAGCGATGGAAGACAAAATGAATGAAATGAAGCATGAAGAGAAGTTTAGAGAAAAAGAATAAAAAGAAATGAACAAAGCCTCCATGAAATATGGAACTACGTGAAAAGACCAAATCCATGTCTGATTGGTGTACCTGAAAGTGACGGAGAGAATGGAACCAAGCTGGAAAACATTCTGCAGGATATTATCCAGGAGAACTTCCCCAATCTAGCAAGGCAGGCCAAAATTCAAATTCAGGAAATACAGAGAACGCCACAAAGATACTCCTCGAGAAGAGCAACGCCAAGACACATAATTGTCAGATTCACCAAAGTTGAAATGAAGGAAAAAATGTTAAGGGCAGCCAGAGAGAAAGGTCAGGTTACCCACAAAAGGAAGCCCATCAGACTAACAGCTGATCTCTCAGCAGAAACTCTACAAGCCAGAAGAGACTGGGGGCCAATATTCAGCATTCTTAAAGAAAAGAATTTTCAAGCCAGAATTTCATATCCAGCCAAACTAAGCTTCATAAGTGAAGGAGAAATAAAATACTTTACAGACAAGCAAATGCTGAGAGATTTTGTCACCACCAGGCCTGCCCTAAAAGAGCTCCTGAAGGAAGCACTAAACATGGAAAGGAACAACCGGTACCAGCCACTGCAAAAACATGCCAAATTGTAAAGACCATCAAGGCTAGGAAGAAACTGCATCAACTAACGAGCAAAATAACCAGCTAACATCATAATGACAGGATCAAATTCACACATACCAATACTAATCTTAAATGTAAATGGGCTAAATGCTCCAATTAAAAGGCACAGACTGGCAAACTGGATAAAGAGTCAAGACCCATCAGTGTGCTGTATTCAGGAAACCCATCTCACGTGCAGAGACACACATAGGCTCAAAATAAAGGGATGGAGGAAGATCTACCAAGCAAATGGAAAACAAAAAAAGGCAGGGGTTGCAATCCTAGTCTCTGATAAAACAGACTTTAAACCAACAAAGATCAAAAGAGACAAAGAAGGCCATTACATAATGGTAAAGGGATCAATTCAACAAGAACTAACTATCCTAAATATATATGCACCCAATACAGGAGCACATAAAGCAAGCCCCGAGTGACTACAAAGAAACTTAGACTCCCACACAATAATAATGGGAGACTTTAACACCCCACTGTCAACATTAGACAGATCGAGACAGAAAGTTAACAAGGATATCCAGGAATTGAACTCAGCTCTGCACCAAGCGGACCTAATAGACATCTACAGAACTCTCCACCCCAAATCAATAGAATATACATTCTTTTCAGCACCACACCACATGTATTCCAAAATTGACCACATGGTTGGAAGTAAAGCTCTCCTCAGCAAATGTAAAAGAACAGAAATTATAGCAAACTGTCTCTCAGACCACAGTGCAATCAAACTAGAACTCAGGATTAAGAAACTCACTCAAAACCGCTCAACTACATGGAAACTAAACAAAAACCTGCTCCTGAATGACTACTGGGTACATAACGAAATGAAGGCAGAAATAAAGATGTCCTTTGAAACCAATGAGAACAAAGACAGAACATACCAGAATCCCTGGGACACATTCAAAGCAGTGTGTAGAGGGAAATTTTAGCACTAAATGCCCACAAGAGAAAGGAGGAAAGATCTAAAATTGACACCCTAACATCACAATTAAAAGAACTAGAGAAGCAAGAGCAAACACATTCAAAAGCTAGCAGAAGGCAAGAAATAACTAAGATCAGAGCAGAACTGAAGGAGAGAGAGACACAAAAAACCCTTCAAAAAATCAATGAATCCAGGAGCTGGTTTTTTGAAAAGATCAACAAAATTGATAGACCACTAGCAAGACTAATAAAGAAGAAAAGAGAGAAGAATCAGATAGACACAATAAAAAATGACAAAGGGGATATCACCACCGATCCCACAGAAATACAAACTACCATCAGAGAATACTATAAACACCTCTATGCAAATAAACTAGAAAATCTAGAAGAAATGGATAAATTCCTCGACACATACACCCTCCCAAGACTAAACTAGGAAGCAGTTGAATCTCTGAATAGACCAGTAACAGGCTCTGAAATTGAGGCAATGATTAATAGATTACCAACCAAAAAAAGTCCAGGACCAGATGGATTCACAGCCGAATTCTACCATAGGTACAATGAGGAGCTGGTACCATTCCTTCTGAAACTATTCCAATCAATAGAAAAAGAGGGAATCCTCCCTAACTCATTTTATGAGGCAGCATCATCCTGATACCAAAGCCTAGCAGAGACACAACAAGAAAAGAGAATTTTAGACCAATATCCTTGATGAACATTGATGCAAAAATCCTCAATAAAATACTGGCAAACCGCATCCAGCAACACATCAAAAAGCTTATCCACCATGATCAAGTGGGCTTCATCCCTGGGATGCAAGGCTGGTCCAACATAGGAAAATCAATAAACGTAATACAGCATATAAACAGAACCAAAGACAAAAACCACATGATTATCTCAATAGATGCAGAAAAGGCCTTTGACAAAATTCAACAACCCTTCATGCTAAAAACTCTCAATAAATTAGTTATTGATGGGACGTATCTCAAAATAATAAGAGCTATCTATGACAAACCCACAGCCAATATCATACTGAATGGGCAAAAACTGGAAGCATTCCCTTTGAAAACTGGCACAAGACAGGGATGCCCTCTCTCGCCACTCCTATTCAACATAGTGTTGGAAGTTCTGGCCAGGGCAATCAGGCAGGAGAAGGAAATAAACGGCATTCAGTTAGGAAAAGAGGAAGTCAAATTGTCCCTGTTCGCAGACGACATCATTGTATATCTAGAAAACCCCATTGTCTCAGCCCACAATCTCCTTAAGCTGATAGGCAACTTCAGCAAAGTCTCAGGATACAAAATGAATGTGCAAAAATCACAAGCATTCTTATACACCAATAACAGACAAACAGCCAAATCATGAGTGAACTCCCATTCACAATTGCTTCAAAGACAATAAAATACCTAGGAATCCAACTTACAAGGGATGTGAAAGACCACTTCAAGGAGAACTACAAACCACTGCTCAATGAAATAGAAGAGGATATAAACAAATGGAGGAACATTCCATGCTCATGGGTAGGAAGAATCAATATCGTGAAAATGGCCATACTGCCCAAGGTAATTTATAGATTCAATACCATCCCCATTAAGCTACCAATGACTTTCTTCACAGAATTGGAAAAAACTACTTTAAAGTTCATATGGAACCAAAAAAGAGCCCACATTGCCAAGACAATCCTAAGCCAAAAGAACAAAGCTGGAGGCATCACACTACCTGACTTCAAACTTTACTACAAGGCTACAGTAACCAAAACAGCATGGTACTGGTACCAAAACAGACATATAGATCAATGGAACAGAACAGAGCCCTCAGAAATAATGCCGCATATCTACAACTATCTGATCTTTGACAAACCTGACAAAAACAAACAATGGGGAAAGGATTCCCTATTTAATAAATGGTGCTGGGAAAACTGGCTAGTCATGTGTAGAAAGCTGAAACTGGATCCCTTCCTTACACCTCATACAAAAATTAATTCAAGATGGATTAAAGACTTACATGTTAGATGTAAAACCATAAAAACCCTAGAAGAAAACCTAGACAATACCATTCAGGACATAGGCATGGGCAAGGACTTCATGTCTAAAACACCAAAAGCAATGGCAACAAAAGCCAAAATTGACAAATGGGATCTAATTAAACTAAAGAGCTTCTGCACAGCAAAACAAACTACCATCAGAGTGAACAGGCAACCTACAGAATGGGAGAAAATTTTCGCAATCTACTCATCTGACAAAGGGCTAATATCCAGAATCTACAATGAACTCAAACAAATTTACAAGAAAAAAACAAACAACCCCATCAAAAAGTGGGCAAATAATATGAACAGACACTTCTCAAAAGAAGACATTTATGCAGCCAAAAAACACATGAAAAAATGCTCATCATCACTGGCCATCAGAGAAATGCAAATCAAAACCACAATGAGATACCATCTCACACCAGTTAGAATGGCAATCATTAAAAAGTCAGGAAACAACAGGTGCTGGAGAGGATGTGGAGAAATAGGAACACTTTTACACTGTTGGTGGGACTGTAAACTAGTTCAACCATTGTGGAAGTCAGTGTGGCCATTCCTCAGGGATCTAGAACTAGAAGTACCATTTGACCCAGCCATCTCATTACTGGGTATATACCCAAAGGATTATAAATCATGCTGCTATAAAGACACATGCACACGTATGTTTATTGCGGCACTAGTCACAATAGCAAAGACTTGGAACCAACCCAAATGTCCAACAATGATAGACTGGATTAAGAAAATGTGGCACATATACACCATGGAATACTATGAAGCCATAAAAAATGATGAGTTCATGTCCTTTGCAGGGACATGGATGAAGCTGGAAACCATCATTCTCAGCAAACTATTGCAAGGACAAAAAACCAAACACCGCATGTTCTCACTCATAGGTGGGAATTGAACAATGAGAACACAAGGACACAGGAAGGGGAATATCACACACAGGGGATGGTTGTGGCATGTGGGGAGGGGGGAGGGATAGCATTAGGAGATATACCTAATGCTAAATGACGAGTTAATGGGTGCAGCACACCAACATGGCACATGTATACATATGTAACAAACCTGCATGTTGTGCACATGTACCCTAAAACTTAAAGTATAATAATAAAAATAAACTAGCTCAGAATAAATCATAAACCTAAATGTAAATCCTAAAACTATAAAATTTCTAAAAGAAAATATAAAATTTTTGTGACCTGGAGTTTGGTATAAATGACATCAAAAGCTTGATCGATAAAAGAAAAACATTTGACTTCATCAGCAAAACATTGTTCATGAAATGAAATGTTAAGCCACCAATGGGGGCAAAATTTGTAAGTCATATATCTGATAAGGCAATTGTATCGAATATACATAAAATTATAAACATAATAATAAGAAAAAGAACAAGAAAAATTGGGCAAAGCATTTGAATGCAAGCTTCATGAAAGAAGATATATAGATATATAGATGGAAAGTAGCACTTGAGAAGATGATCAACATCAGTAGTCGTAATGAAAACACTTATTAAAACCACAATTATATAGCACTACATGCCTATTGAAATAACTCAAATAAAAAAACAACAAATTTTGTCAATGATGCAGAGAAAATCTGATTCTCATATGCTACTTGTAAGAACGTAAAATGGTACAACTGTTTTGCAAAACTGCTTGGCAGTTTTGCTAAAAATTAAACATACAACCATTCATATAATCCAGCCATTATACCACTGGGAATTAACCCAAGAGAAACAAAGTCTATAACCATGCAAAGACTGTGCATAGTCTTTTAGCATCATTATATACAAGTCTTTGTATGGACATATACTTTCAACAATGAAACAACCTGAATGCCCATCAGTAGCTGAATGGATTGAAAAATTGTCATGTATCCATCTAATCAGAAATAAAAAGAAATTAACTATTGGTATATGCTGCAACATGGACAAATCTCAAAATAAATATGTTGACTCAAAAAGAGTACATACATATTGTATGATCAATTTATTTAATATCATAAAATAATGCAAACTAGTTTATAGAGAAAGAAATAAATAAGATTAGTGGTTGCCTAGGAACAGCTCAGGTGGTATGGGGAGGACAGAAGTGAAGGATTATAAAGGCATATGTAGAAATTTTTCAATGGTGAGGAATATATTTATCTTGATTTTGGTGATGGTTTCTTAAGTATATACATATGTCAAAACTTACCAAATTTTACACTTTATGTACAGTTTATTGTATGTTAATTATGCCTCAATAAAACTTTAAAACATACTCATTTGTACAGAATTACACACACACACACACACACACCGTGGTGGTAATGAATGAATTGGGTAAAGGGTACAGGTTTACACTGCATCAAGCTAGTCAGAGGCTGGCTTACTTTAAACTTAATAAGAATACTCAGTAATTTTAGACAGCTATTATTTATTTCAAAGCCCTAGTAATGAAGTAGTGTTACTGAATTCTTTTTGCCATTGTTTTGTTTTACTTTGTCTTATATTTCCGAATCCAGGCAATGCAAAATGTATTAAACTTTAAGTTATTTGTATTTAAAACAATATTTTGGGGGGATATCACACTCTTTCACTGATGGGATAATTCACTTGGGTTTCCTAATATTTTAGGATAATAAAAAAGGTTTTGCCGGGTGCGGTGGCTCACGCCTATAGTTCCAGCTCTTCGGGAGGCAGAGTCGGGAGGACAACTTGAGCCCAGGAGTTTGAGACCTGCCTGGGCAATATAGTGAGACCCTGTTCTCCACAAAAAGGAAAAAAAAAAAAAAAGACAAAACAAAAGGTTTTTATATTTGTCTTAGTATTGTGAATTCATGAGACTTTCTAAATATCACCAACAGAGAAGCTTTCCATTGAGGATTTAAAAATAAATATCCCATCCTACATTTCTAGATAGGGAAGGAAATCTTAGTTTCTAAGGTCTGAAAATTGTCCCACAAAAACTGTACATCATTATTTGTGCTTCTTAGACTCATGGTAATTATCCACAAATTTTCTGCAAAAACTTTTCTTGTTTTCTATCAAGAATCTAAGTATTATTGAGATTATTTGTGGTTTTACCATATTTTGCAAAATTTTAGGCTTACAAAACATATTTGCAAAAACTTAGTACCCAGTAAATCATGAAAAATGGTCTAACACTCGACTATGTTTAATACTTTATGTTAGAAAATTCTTCCAATCTGATCTGCAACCATTTTTACTGAACAGGTAAGTTGTCAAAAGTAGTGCAGTGGACACTACTATAGAAGCAAATAGTTTGTACACGGCATTCATTCACTCAGCAAAGATTCGTTTGCTTCTCTAATGTGGGCCAGACACTTCACTAGGTACTGAGGTATAAGAGTCAACAAAAAAGAGAAGATCCTGGGTTTTATGTTAACATTGCAATGGGAAGATACAGACTACATGATATTAATAATTTCTGTATTAAGTATATTTCATTTGAGAATGAAATGAATAAAAAGAATCTCTTGGTAAATTTAAGATACAAGATTTATATTTTAATGATATAGTAAACAAACATATCTTAAATTCTAACTTAAATCTATGTAAATGTAATAGGGTCAAAAATATGCATATATGCATAGTTTGTAACTTTAAAGTATACATAAAATATTCAAAAAATAAGTGTTTTGAGAATTTTTAATTCCATTACTCTTTAGTCGTTTACATTAAAAAAAAATCATTAAGACTTCCCTTCCAGTAATAGTGAACTAGGTAACTCTAGCCAACTCTTTTACTGAGTGCCTCTAAAAAAGCAGAATAAATTCTAAAAGCATCTGAAGGAAGTGGAGATCTGACAACATAGGGAAGGATTACTGGTTTAGGATTTGGAGAAGGAAAGAAACTCAGGGAGGTGGTGCCACTGTTCTTCTGGCAGTATTTATTGATTCCTGACAAGGCTGCTGAGAGGAAACATTGGCAGCTTCTCTTGGCTAGGGCATAGTGAATGATGCTCAGGAATCAACAAAAAGTGATCCCTGGTGAACCCTCTCTCTTTTGGGTTGGGACCTGAGACGACTCCCCCTCCACGAGAATAACAGTTAATCAGAAGTAGAGAAATCCTCCTATCTTCCAATCATCTCCACGCCTGGAAATGAATAAAGGTGATTCAAACTTGCAGCACCCCCAGGCAAGCAACAGACTTAAATAAACATCCACGATGAAGGATGATAAAAATTATCCTAAGACTCAGCTTATTTCTACACAATATTTTCAGATACATATCTCATATATATTAAAATATAACCAGTTATAAAAGAAGGCAGACAAGAATAAATATAAATATAGAAAATAAAAACACACACATAGGTGCTTTAGATAGAAAAGTTAACTTGCATAGGCTTTAAAATAACTTGAGAAATAAAATACATAATTATGAATTCTGCTAAAGAAATGGAAACTATAAAAGAAAGAACAGATTTGAACTAAATTGAAATTCTAGAACTGAAAAATATGGTTACCCATCTTAATAATTCAAAGGATGTGTTTAACAGCATACTATACAATTGAGATAAAAATTAGTAAACTAAAGGCAAGGTCAGAAGAATGTATATGGCATGGAGCAACTAATTTTTTCTAATTTATCTGTTTTTGATTTCTCTCCTCCCACTAAAACATAAACTCCCTGTGTCCAGATTATGACTTGTTCACTCTAATTTTACTAGTGTCTAGCAAAATTCTTAGCACATAGTGGATGCCCATTAAATAATTGTTGAATAAAAAATTGCTCAGAAAAATGTATATAATCATTGCCACTACAATACTTTTGACAGTATATTCACTGCTTAAATGTGATTGACTATGCTGAAATAACTTTGGAGAATAACTCCTAACCAGCGAAGTAAGGGGGGTAAAAGGAAGTAAAAGCTACTGGAACTGGGGAGGGAAAGAGAGAAAGAAATGTTGCTTTTCAGAGACAATATGATTATGAATGTATATGTAATTTATTAGAATTAGTAAATTTAGAAATGTTGCTGGATATAATGTCAATACACAAAAAATCAAATTGATATCTCTATATAGAAATAATTTAAAAATGGAATTTAAAAGAGAACGTTTAGCATCAAAATGTAAAATATGCATAAAATATGAAACTAGATGTTTAGACTATAAAACGGAAAATAGAAAATTGAAAAGAAATATTACCTAAGGAGACATGCCATATTTATGCATTTAAAGTTTCAATATTCTAAAAATAACAATTTTATTCTAACAAATGAATCAACGTAATTCTGATACAAAAATAAGATGATTTTGTATACATTTACCAACCTGATTCTATAACTTATAGACAATGCAAGGACCAAGAAGAGTCAAGCTCTTGAGAAATAATTTTTTTTAACTTTTATTTTAGGTTCGTGGGTATAGGTGCAGGTTTGTTATATAGGTAAATTGCATGTCACAAGGATTTGGTGTACAGATTATTTTGTGCCCCAGGTAATAAGCATGGTGCCCGATAGGTAGTTTTTCCACCTTTACCTTCCTTGTATCCACCACCCTCAAGTATGGCCCAGTGTCTGTTACTCCCTTCTTTGTGTCTATAGGTACTCAATATTTAGCTCCCACTTATAAGTGAGAACATGCAGTATGTGCTTTTCTGTTCCGGCGTTAGTTTGCTTAGGATCATGACCTCCAGCTTCATCCATGTTGCTGCAAAGGACATGACATTGTTTGTTTTGTGTGTGTGTGGCTGCACAGCCACATGGTGCACATGTACCACATTTTCTTTATCCAGTAAGAATATGTTGAGACTAAATGCTCTATTTATATCAAGACCTTATATAAAGCTGTAATATTTAAAAGAAAGTGTTTGGCATGAGGATAGACAAATAGAACAGTTAAATCGTATGGAAAGCCCAGAGAACTTTGTATATAGGAACACTTGACTTATCACAACACAGATGTAACGGGAAAGGATGGTTGTTTCAGGACATGGTACTGAGGCAGTCAAATATGCATACAGAAAAAAGTGAAACTTGAATCCTACTTCACGCCACTCATAAAACCAACTTACTATAGATTTATCGACTTCTATTAGATTACACATCATAATGTGAAAGGTAAGTCAATAAATCTTTTAGGTCCAGGTTTCTTAACAGCAGTGCTACTGACATTTGTGGTCAGGTAAGTCTTGGTGGGGTGGGGGCTGTCCTGTTCATTGTAGGACATTTAGCAGAATCCCTGGTCTCTACACACGAAATGTTAGTAGCACAACCTCAGCTGTGGCAACCAAACATGTCCACAGACATTAACAAATGTCCCCTGGAAAGATTTGTAAGATAGTATTTATTATTTGGGAGTACAGGAGAGTATTTATTATTTAGGATAAAGAATGATTACTTAAACAGGACACAAAATGCTATATCCAAAAATAAAATCTTAAATTTGACTACATCAAAAAATAGAAGTTCCATTTATCAAAAGACATCATTAGGAGAATAAAAAGGTAAGCCACAAAGTGGGAGTAAATAATAGTTGTATACCCAGCAGGGAGTTCAAAACCAGATTTTATAAAGCACTGAATACAAAAATGACAAAAACCCAATAGAAAAATGATCAAGAGGTTTCATGAAATGAAGATATCCAAATGGCCAAAAAATATACAAAAAAGGTGTTATGCATCACGAGTAATCAGGAAAATGCAAACAATCCACAAGGAAATTACACAACATATGCAGCAGAAATGGCAACATGGAAAAAGCCTGACCACACCAAGAGTGAGCTATGCTGTAGAGCAGAGGTTG
The DNA here is from genome assembly GCF_000001405.40 of Homo sapiens. NCBI lineage: Eukaryota > Metazoa > Chordata > Mammalia > Primates > Hominidae > Homo > Homo sapiens. The sequence continues at coordinate 124,401,557 of NC_000006.12, read as the reverse complement.
GTAAACTTTTTCCGTGAAGTGTCAAGGAGTAAGTATTTCAGGTATTGAAGGCTATATGGTCTCTGTCACAAGTATTCAACTCTGCTGCTGTCCCCCAAAAGCATCTAGAGACAATGGGTAAATGAAGGGACACAGCTGTGTTCCAAAACAATCTTACTTTTAAATATCAGTGGCAGGCTGGATTTGGATGGCGAGCCATAGTTTGCAGACTCCTGATGTAGAGCAGCAGGAATGCTCAAATATTGCTTGTAGGAGTATACATTAGCACAAAAAATTGGGGGGAAAATGTCATTATCGTCTAAATTAGAAGTACCCATACCTTCCCAGCAATTTCACTCTAAGATTATATACTCCTCAGAAATGTGTACTGAGAGACAGGTACATAATTTATTGGTACTCTTTTTGGTAATAATAAATAAAAGCACTATCTCATATATACTGACAGCAAAAGGGATACATATTTTGTAATATTTTTAAAAATGTAAGATTTTACAGCAACAAAAATAACAGACCAATGCATTGTGTCAAACAAGCATAATGACATTTGAAAGAAGCCAGACATAAAAGGGTACATACTGTAAGATTCCATTTACATAATTTTTAAAAGGAAAATTTGAGCAAAACTCTAACATTTAGCAATGCTTCTTTAATTTATATGGAAATATTAATAAAGAAAAATAGGTGTGACCATAAAAATCAGGATAATAGTGTACTGATTAGGAGAGTGAGCATGGAAGGGTTCTGGGATGCCACCTGTCTTCCATTTCTTGACCTGCACAGTGTTTACACAAGAATTTGCTTTGTTTCATGCACATTTTCATACTTCTGTTTGAAGTGTGAAAGTGCTATACTATATATTAAAATAAAAATAATTTAAAAATGTTTACAGGCATTTTAGAATCTTCTTTTTTGAAGAGAAAAAAGAAAGAAATAGGAATATTGATATAATGGAAACTTGGTGTACAGCAGACACTCAAATTAGGGAGTTTTCTCTCCTGCCAGGATATTGAGTACTGCTGCCTAGGCCAAATTCACAGCATGCCAAGTATTTCTCTTTGCTTGTGACTATATCAAGCCAAGTAACAGAACCTTACAAATTAAAAAAATATATAGATAGAATCCAGTTCCTTTTCCCAATTTTTCCACTCTTACTGTGCATTTTGCTCTATATTTGGAGGAGTCACTGGTTCTATGAAAAACGTGGTTTTCTGCCAGTGAGCACTGAAGTGCTGACACTTATCTCTCTCAGTGGTTTTCAACTCTGGCTGCGTACTAAAATCAATTGGCAACTTAAGTTTAAAAAAAAATCCATAGCCTAAATCTAGCTCAGACTAATTAAATTAGGTTCTCTTGGGGTGTGGCCCAGGCATTTTTAAAGATCCGCAGGAGATTCTAATGTGTGGCAGATTTGAGAACCACTGACCTGTCTGATGGCACCCTCAGAAGTATGCATAATTAAGTCGCGAATGTTCTGCTTGCCTCAGTGCAGTCAATTAGGAAGAAAAATATAATGGCTCTGGTGAAGTCCAATTTATCTCACATAGTCTCTAATTTATTTTTATCAAATAGGAGGAAGCATTCTTCTTCCTAAAGCTCCTGTAAAAACATCCTTGTTTTTCTTTTCTCTAAATGTTTATCATTCATTCATAGAAATAGTAAAAGCATAAATAAATGAATTCACTGATCGTCACCAGCAATTTTTGTATTACTGTGGCCCCAGGATGCTGTTTGTCTCCCTAATGATCCCTTGTCTACCAGCATTTGTCAGGAACAATTTTTATAAAGCGGAAACCATTAATTGTACCTAATACTTGGCCAAAGCCGGCTGTTCTTCTTTTAATTCTATCCTCTGCTTCGCTAAGGAATCTGTGTTTGTTGGTGGCACTTAAGCAGACAGATACTATGAGAGACACAACTTGCCAAAATTTGCAGTGTGTTTCTGGAATGTTCTGCCTGCCTGACTCACCGCCACCCAACTCAAACCCTTATGCTACCCCCTGAACACCTGTCATCTGTAGGCCACATGGGAGTTTTCACCCATGGAAACTTGAATTTCACAAAAAGGCTCTATGAGTGTTAGAGGTTTCTCTAACCCTACAAACTCTTATTTCTTAATGTAGCCTGTAGATGTTGTGGGGCCCCTTGGCCACAGAGGAAGATAATCTAGTGAAGAAGAACCAAGAATCCAAATAATTGACCCTCAATTATTAGAAATTCCAAAACTACTAGGTGAACCAAACCCATCCCAAAGTAGAGATCTGCTAAGCCTCATGAGTATCATAAACTTGAAAATAAGTAAAACCTAAAATAAAAACAGATTTTAAAAATAAAGGCCAAGCCTGGTGGCTCATGCTTGTAATCACAGCATTTTGGGAGTCCAAGGTAGGTGGATCACTTGAGGTCAGGAGTTCAAGACCAGCCTGGCCAACATGGTGAAACCCTGTCTCTACTAAAAATACAAAAATTAGTCAGGTGTGGGGGTGCGTGCCTGTAATCCCAGCTACTCAGGATAATGAGGCAAGAGAATCACTTGAACCTGAGAGGCAGAGGTTGCAATAAGCCAATATCACACCACTCCACTCCATCCTGGGCAAGAGAGGGAGACTCTGTCTCTAAATAAATAAATAAAATCAAGGCAAAAGAAATAATTGCTGTTGACATTTTTCAGAAATTTGAAACAGGATGGGGATAATTTTCAAATATCTTCCCCCTCTGGAGTATATACTTAGTCTCAAACTTAAAAAGCTCATTGCATTTGTTTTTCTACTATTTTTTGTACTTAATTTCTGACTAATCAACTAGTAGGCTTGATTATGTCTTTTCCATTCCATTCATTACCAATTGTAACACCGTACTCACCTTAGGTTGATAACATTTCTCTTAAAACTGCACAATTTTAAATTGCCTCTATAAGCCGTTCTTCATACCACCTGTAGTTTTAATCATCATAATACACTTAACATGTTCAAAACTTTTTCAGGCCTTCTCAAGCCTATGAGTGAACTATAAACATATTAGATGTGAGTATGAGCTTGCAATTTGGATCTCCATAGACTAATTCTAGCCTATTTTCCATCATACCTTTCATTCTCACCTCTGCAAAACCTCTGTTCCATCAATTTGTCTGATTTCTTCAACCTACCTTAGGATTTCCACTTTTGTGCCTTCAGTCAAATGGAATCCTGCCATCGTCTCAGCCCACTTAAATTCTACCTGTGAAGTGGTATTTTGTCAAAAGGCAAATGAGATTTGAGATTCTGTAATTTGGGCTCATCTTTTTTTTTTTTTTTTTTTTTTTTTTTTTTGAGATGCAGTCTCTCTCTGTCACCCAGGCTGGAGTGCAGTGGCGCGATCTCGGCTCACTGCAAGCTCCGCCTCCCAGGTTCAGGCCATTCTCCTGCCTCAGCCTCCCGAGTAGCTGGGACTACAGGTGCCCGCAACCACGCCCGGCTAATTTTTTGTAGTTTTAGTACAGATGGGGTTTCACCGTGTTAGCGAGGATGGTCTCGATCTCCTGACCTCGTGATCCGCCCGCCTCGGCCTCCCAAAGTGCTGGGATTACAGGTGTGAGCCACCACGCCCGGCCCCGGGTATCTTCATTTTAAATAAATTCCCTAGGAATTTTTAAGCACCATAAACTCTGAGAACCTGGCTTTAGGTCCACTTCAGGCCATTCTTCTTCCAATGAAGCTAATCTAATTTTAAAATCAAAATATAAAGAGCATTAAAATTCCCTCTTGACCACTGAAAAACAGTTTTGACTTTCACAATTCGTTAATCTTCCTGAGCCAGGTTTTCTGGTTTGAAACGGAGATAATAACACCTGACTACCTGACATGCTTGTTATATGGATAAGGACAAATTTCCATGAGAAAACAATTTCAAATGTATACAATTTAAACAGTTTTTTTTTAAATTCTTTTTTTTCCACATTTCAACGCCCACTCTAGTATTGCATAACATATTGGTTGAAATTGTTGGGTTCAAAATCTGGCTTAATGCAAACCTGGTTATAATTAAAAAAAAAAAACTCTCTGTGACACAGTATCTCAATCAATAAAGCAGGGACAATCATCTATTATTAAATGAGGTAAAACAGCCCAATGGTAGGTACACAGTGAATGTACACAATTGTTAGCTATTATTTGGAGTAATTATATTATCGTTGTTCTTAGACGTCATCATTATTGGTAAGCACTGAATATGTTTGAATTGAATTCTACCATAATGTGTTCTAGAAAAAAGTAAATAATTATCAGAAATTACTGAAAAATTATAATTACATTTATTTATATTATTTAAATTACAATGCAATTTATACAAACTGTTAATTTCTTTGAGCAAAATTTCAAAGCAGGAACACTACACTATAAATGTTAAAACCATCATTATAATTTTCTTTATTATGTGTATTTAGAGTTATATTTAGGGATATATTAAATAATTATATCAGAGATATGAATAAAAATCAAAGGCCCATATTTATTTTATCAGATCTATGGAAGTATCAACCACTACTGTTAATAAAACAGTTAACTGTTCCTTTTCCAGATAAAAAAGTAAAATCATTCTCTAATGCCTTTTTGTATTTTCACCACAACTTACAAAAATCATAAAGTTCTAATGTTCTGATGATAATTAATACTTCTCCATAAGAAAGACTAAATAATGCCTGTATTAAAGTTAAAAATAAATTTAAACAAATAGAATTCATCTTTTAAATGTAACCTTTCCATCACTGTGGGAAATGCCACTATCTTTGATGCATCAGAAGCAAGTTTTTGGTCATCTTTGATGCCTCATACACCTCCCACTCTCCCACACATAATTCTAATTCAACAATATCTGTAATAGTTATTTATTCCTTTCCATCTATACACATTCTTAATGATCTCTGGCCTGAATTGCTGAAACATACTCTCCATCAGCAACTCTGATTCTAGACCTTCTTCCCTTTAAGTAAGGCAGAATGACATGACTGAAATCACAGTTCTGACTCATCGTGTTTCATTAAAACTATTCCCCTTATGTATCTCTACTAGTCAGCCGATGCCCTTCATCAAATCTAGGTGACAGACTTTTTCCAAGCCTCATTGAATCTCTTTTTTTCTTTTCTTTTTTTTTTTTTTAATCAAATAGCAGGTCTTATTCATTATTCCTTTTGTGTTTTTTTGGTACCCATTTTATTGTATCAATTCCTCTCTCATTCCCAGCCACTCTCTTTGCTTGAAAAATTTATTCTTCACATCTTGGTATTATCTTTCCCCCTTTCATATTCTATTCTAATAGTAACAATTTATTATTAAATTATTAAATATTATTAAATCTTGCGATGCCCATGGCATCTTACCATGTATTGGGAGATACCCATTGTTTCATTTTGAGTGGTAGAGTGTTTTTAACCTCATCTGTTTAATAAGATAAAGTCCTAGAGAACAAACCAGTAGTGCCTTCTCCCTGGACTGAGGGCACCTGGAGATATGTATATATAAATGCAAAGTACCATGGAAGTTATACCAGATTATAAGCTCCTGAGGGCAGAGGTTTTGTATGTTTTGTTCACTGATGTAGCCCCAGAGCCTAGAGGCTTAGCACACAGTGGTCACTCAATAAGTATTTGTTGAACACAGTTAAAGAATAAATGAGCAAATATATCACCACAAGACTAAATGATACTTATTACTCCGAGACTCTGTATAGGACATATAACAATATTTTCAGCATGGAATGATACTAGATCTATTTTCCTATAAAGCAATTTCAGCAACTATTTATTCAAATGCTTCCACACTGGACATATCCATTGCCATTCTATTTATGAATGTAATCAAAGAAATAATCAAATGAAAAACATCACTGATGTTACTTTACCTAAAAGTGAAATGGGGATAATGATCTGAAGGGTTTAAGAGAGGAATTTAATATTACATTCCTCTAACTCACATGCTAAGTTTCAGTTGTGACTGAGATGTTTACCTTTCCAAGTCAGCTGGTATTAGAGACATCCATGAGTATCTCAATTTTATTAACCATTTCTTTTATCTCTTTTGGAAAACTAGAATGCAACATTATGTGTTTACCACTGAATGAGATTAATTTATGGGTTTTAATGTTGTTAGTAACTTGTTATAAGTGTATCTATGATATCCACTTATAACCATAAATAAAGAATACACTATTTGGTAAATGAAATAACAGGAATAATTTTCAGTATAAAAGGTAAAAATGCAAAATTCAAAATATGACAGATGGAAGAATTTCATAGAAGATTTCTCTCTGGAATCACCTATGACTTGGATGGAGTTTGGATGTTCATCCTGTGGGAATAGGACAGTGTTGGCAAGCATATTGAGAACATCAGGAAAAAGGGGGTACCTTCAAATTTGAAGTATTAAAATATTCATGAGAAGATTTATTTCAATTACTTTGTACCTATTTTATGTTTAATTTTGTCTATTTTTAATTATATACAGAGGAGGTATTATAAATCATCTTCAATGTTAACTCACTTACAGGTCTTATTCTGGCTCTCTGGAAAGAGATTAGAGAGACCTGACTGACGATGTTCAGGAAGTCCAAGCCCATATTATCACTCTTTTTCCCCATGCCTTCACCGCATGGCCAAGAAAAGCTTTTCTGAGCAATGAAGCACAATCTTCTGGGGGTGTGATGGTTAACTTTATATGTTAATTTGACTGGGCCGAGAGATCTTCAGACATTTGGTCAAACACTATTATGGGTGTTTGTGGATGAGATTAGCATTTGAATTCATAGACTGAGTAAAGCATATTTTGCTCTCTTACATAGGCGGGCTTCATCTAAGCAATTGCAAACCTGAATAGAACAAAAAGGCTGAATTCCTCCTTCTGACCGCTGACCTGGGACACTGTTTTTTTTTTTTTTTCTGCCATTTGGGTTTGGACTGAAATACTGGCTCTTCTTAGTCTTGAACCTGCAGACTGCAGATATTGGGACTTCTATCCTCTATAATTACATGAGTCAATTTCTTATACTGTCTATGTATCTATCTGTCTGTCTGTATCTATCTAATCTATCTATCTATCTATCTATCTATCTATCTATCTATCTATCTATCTATCTCATATTGATTCTGTTTTTCTGGAAAACCCTGACTAATACAAGGGCCATGCATTATTAGGAGGTCATGTTTTACTTTTTTCTTTTTGATCCTATAGTATTATGCTGTTAAAGGAAGCCAAGAAAAAGAGTGAAGACATTGAGAAAGTGTGCTTATCAAACTCCCTTAACAGAATTACAGAACTACAAAAGCTGGAGAAAACATAACCCAGCCATTTTATAGATGATCTCATGGAGCCCAATTTTTTTCACATGATTTGCCCAAAGTCATTTGTGCAGAGTAATGACTCATGAAAAATACAAATAAAATAAAGAGGAAATCTATGCAGTAAATAAATACATGGCCTTAAAATATTAGACAATGCAAGTATTATACCCAGAACAGATGTCCAGATCTCTGCAGACACTCTTAGGTGCTTAGGGCCTGAGTATACTAGGTGACATCATAGACTTTAAACTCAATAAGTCTGGGATTCAACTCTTTCTTTGCTGCCTAGAAACTGTGTAACTTTAATCAATGGATTTTACTTCTTTTGGTCTTCATTCCCTCACTTGTAAAAGGTGGGGAAATAGTATCTATTTTTGAAGTTTGTAGTGAGAATTAAATGAAACAGTTCACAGAATTCTAACTGAGTGGCATATAATGCGCATGCACATAAAACATGGTTCCTTTTGTGGTCATACAAGTATATTTATACAGCCATTACGCATGCATGACTAACACTAGGTTCCAGGGTGGAACTGACAGTAGCTGCTTGCTGGGTATAGGGTGTCTGGAGTCAGGGGGTGAGGTTTTGAGACTCGGCTCCTCACCATCTGTACCAGTACCTGGCATTTTATTATGATTCATCCTTTTAATTCTTCATTAGTAATAGAATGCTTTTTAACCGTCACTCAGTATTTCAGCAATGCTCTATTATTTTTGTCTTAATTACATAAATGAATCTATTAACTTTAGAGAGAAGAAGCGTTTGTCTGTATCATAAAACTAGCAAACAGTATTGCCAGCATTAGAAACCAGGTCTTCTGATTCTAATTCTTTCCACTACTCACAGTCTTGTTAATGTACACATATCACTTAAGAGACATTACATGAGAAATTTCCAAAAAAAAAAAATTCTATAAGTGACATGAATAATTATTCTCATCAGTTTATAGTTGCATCTTACGTATTGGGCCATTGTGTAACGATGATGCTAATGAATATCTCTGTAGTATTTTATAGTTAAAAGTTAATTTCACACACTTAAATGTAAGTCTTCTTTCTTGCTCACGTGAAAGACTCAGACTAAACCTGGATTTCCTTACTTTTAGCCCCAAAGAGTTTCTACTGAGCCACAGCTGTCTCCAACTATAACTTCTTGATTTTACTTATATAACAACAATCTGACAAGAAACACAGTCCAAAAGGAAAGGGATGTAGATCAAACTGTATTTATGTATTTATTTGTTTTAAAGACAGAGTCTCACTCTGTCATCCAGGCTGGAGTGCAGGGGTGCAATCACAGCTTACAGCAGCCTCAAAATCCTGGGCTCAAGGGTGCCAAGTAGCAAGCTTTCAGGAGAATGAGAAAATAAGAAAAAACTAGGAGCATATTGTCCCAAGTAGGTGATTGATCATAGACCAGAGACCTTATTACATGAGATAAGACCTCCAGCCTTTCACTGAATTATTTATAAAATTTATATTTCTGGCATTGCTGTCAAATGCAGCAACTTTTAAATTGTTCTACCCTTCAAAAATCAATAGAAGGAAGAATTGTATTTTTTTCTATCATAAATACACTTTTTATGTACAACTGGAACAAAACTACGAAATAACCAACTGTAGTGAGCGTGCTTCCACAGCTTTTTCAATGGCAACTGCTACAGTCTAGCATAGCCCTAAACTTTTCTTCGGCTCAGGGCAAATACACACAAGCGCACACACACACACTTCTCACTATGACCTCTGCTGGAAAAGTCCTCATCTGATATTTCTAGAATTAATCTCTGCTTTGCTTATGATTTAAAAACCTTAAGGGTTATTTCTAACCAATTTATTGCTCTGTGCCTGTAGCTAAGAAGTAATGGAGGAAGTGAAAAACGTCACAAAGGACATTTATTTGTTAATTCAGCAAATAGCTATTGAGTACTTACTATGGCCATAGCATGGTATTAGGTACTGAATATTACAGTAAACCAATAAAATACGGGCCTTACAAAGCTTACAGTTTGTGTGAACTACCATTTTAAGAATTTGGCTGCCCTGAATAAGATCTAATTATTTTAAAAACAATGAGAAATAAAAAAGATATCCAACAAATTTTCCAGTTTTTAAAAGCACTTTTGATTCAGGAAAAAAATATATAATAGTGATATTAGAAAAGGAACGAAAAATATCATTTATATAATAGATACATTGCCTTGAGTTCTGCCTGTATAAAGAAGCATAGATATTCAATGAATGTGTTATATCAGGTGAATTCATTGTTTGGCATCAAGTAACAAGACAAATTACTCTTTACCTGGAGATTCCAGTTTCATACAAACAACCAGAAGTGCTGAGTTGCTCAGCAGAGATTAGTAACCAATAGAATCCATGAAGTCCACACTCTGACTTAGGTAGGGGGAAGGATAGTAGGGTATGGGACAGGGAAGTCGAAGAGTTCATAAGATCACAAGAAGTTCAAGTTTTGAGCACCACCAAAAGTAATTTATAAATAGACTCGGTCTTTTCACATTATTTCCTGGTCTTTGAACATCCTCTGGGAATAGTGAGTTGAAACTGAGAACTCTGAATCTTAGAAGACAACTTGAAAAATTATATTTAACCTTAGACTCTGTTGTCACTGGGGGATTTTTACTTGATGGAGAGCTCTCTTTGTGTGTTCTGACTCTTTTGGATTTTAAGAGGCAAGGAAGCAGAAGCGATCTCAGAATGGATTCAGAGTCCACTGCTCTGTAGAGGTATATGTTCCCAATTGTTAAAGGGCTCCTCATTCACTGAACAAATATTTATTGAGCAGCTACTCTGTGTCAGGCCCTGGTGAACAAGAGAGGCACAGCCCTGGACTTCAAAAGGTCCTATCATACCAAATTGCCACTGACAGATTAAGAAAACAAAAAGGCAAGAGGACAGAGTGATTACAGACACCTGCTAACCCCTTTTGCCCACACATATAAACATCACTTCATCAGCTGACAGGTAAGTTTGTGACAAGAATAATTTTTACCACATCTTTCTTCACTGTAGACTTGTACTGACTTGGAGCTTTACCTGATACTACTCAGTAAGCATTCATGTTTGGATCATTTTATCCTGGATAGCAAGGCTTTAACCATTCAATGTGTATTTGTTAATCATCCACATCTATGCACAGGTTATGGAAATATAGTTATTCATCTCATGGAAACCAGGGCAAGAAAGCAAAAATTTCTTTCAAAGATATTGTATTACTTACAAAGAACTTTCCCATAAAAAATGTCCAAAACAGCACCAGAAATGTGAACTTTTAACATATTTTTAGATGCTTCTCTTTTTTTTTTCTCTTTCCTAGTTCCTCATGGAACTTACAATGGCCTTGTGCTATATCCCCTGGCATTGCAGGGTCTACAGGAATAGATGCAGGGCCAGCCTTGTCCCTTCCTTACTCTGTAGACTGAAATTCTGGATTTGCAGTTCTGGTGCTTTCTTCCACTCTCTGTTTGATAAACATGGCTCCTTCCACCAGTTCACAGATGGGTGCTGAGGTAGACAGAGAAACCTATCATTATTTTCTGGGCAAGGTAAGAAGGGAAAGCCCCATAGGTAGATCTCATATGTTCATCTTCCTTGCAAATCACTGGACTTTTCCTAATCTATTCTGTAGTCAATATTTCTTTGAACTCTGTTCATGTATCTCTAACCTTCAAATTGGTACAGAAAATAGGAACCAGGTATTTTTCTGTATTACAAATCTTCATCTGCAGATGGTATTTCTTCCTTTGGAAAAGACACATGCCAGATAGTGTTCAGATAGCATATTAAGCAATAAAAGCCAGTTTTCTACTGGTTAACGTTATTAAGACAGAATAATGTTCTCATTCAGTAAACTTGTCTTCATAGCTGATCTCGAGCTTGTTTGCTTCAGCCTGCCTAATTGCTAGAGTATTGAAATAGTTCCAGAATGGTTAGTAAACAGCCATGTCCCAAGCTCCCTGAGTGCTGCTGTACCTCAAATAAGAAACGTTTGTTAAAATCCCCTGCTTCAGTCTTAGGTGGAAATATACTAATGAAAAGTAACTCCTCACCCACCCGCCTTTGAGTTGTTGATAGGAGGAGAGCTTGAGAGCTTTGCTAGAAAAGGACTAGAGAAAAACCACTTTGCACTGGCAGCAAAGACGAAAGAACACTGTACCTTTTCAGAGCTTTGGAATACCTATTAAGTCTACTGTATCTTGTCAGGCTGAGTGTGCTAACATAACCTAAGCCTTCAGATATCTTCAGGATAAAAGATGGGGACTCACACACAGCTTGTTAATGGCCCAGGAATATCCATTTCCATGCCCTCTTCAACAAGCAATATCTACCTAAGAGTTTTCTACTCTGGGGTCAAAAGTGAGGCCACGGATAGGGAATGGAAATGGGTGCATTGTTCAGCAATTACTGTCATGTCTATTTTTTTCCTTTTCTAACATGCCAATAAATTATCTTTTATTTTCTTTTCTACAGTCACAGATTCAAACCCACACACACACACACACACACACACACACACACACAAATGTACACAGAGATGAGGAAAGGAGAGAGAAAGATAGAGAGAAAGAGGGTGAGGATCTAACAGTTTTGACCTTTTGGGAAAAAAAATCATTTCATATCTTACCTTTTCTTAACACTGACTTGTAAGGTAGTCTATTTCCTCAGGGCTTTATTAGGTTCCAAGAGATTAGAAAAAGAATCCTTGCTAACATTGCAATGTCCCTCCACTGAGATAACATATTTGCATTTGAATTAACTTATTCAGTAATATTTAGTAAACCCTTATCAAGTACCCAACATTATGCTTAACACAGAATAAACCAAACAATATCAAATACAAACTCAACCCAGCAGGGCATTATGAAATAACACCAGCATTGCTGAGGCAGAATTTTTAAATTGCAGATAGGAGGAGCTATTTAATAGGAAGAAAGGAAGCCCTGTGGGAGACAGGGCAGTTAGAAAAAGTAGTGGGAGGTGGGTGAGAAAGATTTATTTACAGTCAGTTCTTAAGTCTCATTCCAATAATGTTGTGTATAAAGTCACAGCAAACACTGAATTAGTGAATACTGAACCATTGTTCCTAGGGGAAATACAGTGTTAGGTTCCTATAAGCCTCTGGTTACAACATTTAGGTGAATTCATCAATATATAATTTTGTATTATGTGTGATTCTGTTTACAGACACCTTATTTAATACATATTATTTATTTATTAACATTGACGTAATAGCCAACAGCACTATCATTCATGCTTAAATAAAGCTTATAAACACATACGTGTTTTCTGAAAGGCACATCACAGCCTTTTTGTACTTTGAAACAGTAGTCAGTACTTTAGCACTATGCTTGGAGTCCATTTTAATCAGGAAAATCACTGACAAAAAAAGCATAAAAATGCCAAAAATGGCACTAAATAGACTATACAAGGCATACTTGTTCACAATATGAGAGCCAAAATAAGAAGGCAGAGCATCTCTTTGTTCAACCTCAGCTAAGAACGTGTGCATTAAAAGGCTCAAATTTTTCTTTGCTTTGCATATGTCCACTAATGATCATTAAATCACCGTGAGTATTAATTCTGAGGCTATAGAAAATTTTATTAAGTAAATTTGAAAATATAGAACCCTCAAATAATGAAAATTGATTGTATTTATAAAAGGAAGTAGGAGGTCTGCATTACAAATAACCTGGAAGAAGGGGAGGAGTGAAATAATTTGGGGAATATGAAGAGGTAGATTACATTACTGTAGATCAGTGTTTTTCAAAGTGGGGCACATGGGCCAGCAGCATCAGCATTACCAGTCCTTACCCCAGACCAGTTAAATCAAAGACTCTGAGAAAGAACCCCAGAAACATTTGTTTTAACAAGCTGTCCAGGTGAGTGTGTTACAGAGAACCACCACCGTAGAGGTTTCTAGCCTGAGTAATAAATAGGACATAATAGTGAATAGAAAGGGTATAATAAATAAACCTAACAGTGTCCTGATGTCCAAGTCAATGAAATTGATCTTTATCCAATAGTAACAAGAGGGTAAGCAGGGTTTTTTTTTTGTAAAATTAATAATTCAGGTTAAAAAATGTGGAAGTAGTCTAGATCTAGGGTATTGAACCAGAGCAGAATCTCTGAACCTTGGAACTGTTGACATTTCGGGCTAGATAATTTTGTGTTATTAGGGCTCTTCTGTGCATTGGGCGATATTTAACAGCATTCCAGGTCTTTATTCACTACATGATAGTAGCACCTTCTCCTTATAACAACCAAAAATGTCTCCAGAAATTACCAAGTATCAACTGAGAGGCAAGATTGCCTCTAGTCGAGAACTACCCACATAGAACAGTGCTGTTTCCATTTGCCTTTTAAATTATTCATCTTAATTTGGCTAGTATTTCTTGACTACCAATTAGGTCTCAGACTGGGCCTGGAGTACAGATGCAGAGATATACAAGGCACAGATTATATTAACTTTTCTCTGAGGTCATAGCTTTTAGAAACAAACTAGTTCATCTTTAAAAGGCGAAAAATAGGTATTCTTATTCTGATTTGTATAGATTAAACCATCAGTCTATAGATTTAGCTGGTAGCACGCTGGATTTGAAAAAAATCCAATTTTGCAAACACAAAAGCTATACACAAACATTAGACTGGAATTTTGTTACTCATATGCTTTGGTTATCATGCGGATCATTTTGTCATTTCAAGCTTCACCTAATGCTGTTGTTTTCTGGACATAAAATGATAGATAAGAGGATGACAGGTAATCAGCCAGGCATTGGCATACTATTTCTTTGCCTTTGAGTCTGATGCTTTGTTTATATGACTAGGAGCAAGAGCTAAATATTCTGAAGTAGTTCAGTTTGTGAATTCAGTTTCATGCAATGGGGCAAGGAGGTTCTTTCACACACTTTGCAAGAAGTACAGTGATTAAAAAAAAAAAAAAAACCTTTAATTAGGTCCAAACTTTTTTTACAGAATAGAAGACTAAAGACACATGATGTCACTGCTTGCTTATCATTTTTCTATTGTAAAATCAACTTTAAAAAGATATAAATGTATGTATGTATATGCATACATGTAAGTGTACACTCATATATTTTATACAAGTTTTCAAAAAGTTCATGGAAAATGCATGTTTTCAAAACACTATGCATGGATTTCAAAGTTGTTGAGCCAAAATAAACTCACATTAACTTAGGACATGTATGAAAAGGATCTACTCTGAGGCACTAAGAAGAATAAGAAATTAGTTTGAAAAGAGCCCCAAGTAGAGCAACATGAATTCTGCTAAAACTGAAGCAAGAACAAACATCAAATGTATGGTAAAGCATGGGTAGAAGAATTGTAAAATCATTGATGTGTTACAAAAGGTTTAGGGGGACAATGGCCCAAAGAAATCAATAGTTTACAAATAAATAACTTGTTTTGGGAAGGGATGAGATGATATTGAAGATGAAGCCTGCAGCAGCAGACCATCCAGGTAGATTTGTGAGAAGAGAATTTATCTTGTCCATGCCCTAATTGAAGAGGATTGGCAATTAACAGCACAAACAAAAGCCAACACCACAGACATCTCAATTGACTCAGCTTATACAATTCTGACTGAAAAATTAAAGCTAAGCCAATTTTCCACTCAGTGAATGCCAAAACCATTGCGCCCGGATCAGCTGCAGACAAGAGCAGAGCTTTCAATGGAAATTATAAACAAGTGGAATGAAGATCCTGAAGTATTTCTTCAAACATTTGTAACAGGAGATGAACTTTAGCTTTAGCAGTATGATCCTGAAGGCAAAGCACAATCAGAGCAATGGTTACCAAGAGGTGGAAGTGGTCCAGTCAAAGCAACAGTGAACCAGTCAACAGTAAATGTCATGGCAACGGTTTTATGGGATGCTCAAGCATTTTGTTTTTTGCCTTCTGGAAAGCTATTGAATGATAACACCTGCTTATTATAAGAGTGTTTTGAGAAAGTTAGCCAAGTTTTATCAGAAAAACATCCAGGAAGGCGTTACCAGCGAGTACTTCTCTACCTCGACAGGTGTTCATTTCTTTCATCAAACAAGGCCAATTTTGCAAGATTTCCAACGGGAAATCATTAGGCATCCATCTTACAGTCCCGACTTGGCTCCTTCTGACTTCTTTCTGTTTTCTAATCTTAAAAAATCTTTAAAGGACACCCATTTTTCTTCAATTAATAATGTAAAAAAGACTGCATTGACTGATTATATTCCCAGGACCCCCAGTTCTTTAGAAATGGGCTAAATGGCTGATATCATTGCTTACATAAGTGTCTTAAACTTGATGGAGATTATGCTGAGAAATAAAGTCTATATTTTTTATTTTTATCTTTTTGTTCTATTTTTCATGAACTTTTTTGAAGTAACTACATATATATGAGTATGTACATGTATCAGTGGAAGATTTTAGCAAGAACTCCATAAATATGTAGCATAAATATGAGAAACAGCATTTGAGAGGGGGTAGATCTTGGCTACTCATGAGATAGATATGTTCACCTATAGAACATAAAGATAGATGTGTTCACCTATAGGTAAGGTGAACACATAATTTATTGTCCAAACACAGAGCTTTTTTGGAATGAATTATAGTGGAAGAACAAGTGAAGACCCAGACTGAACTGGGCAAACAAGGATTTATGATCATTGTGGATATACAGAATTAAAAATTCAAATTTCCAGTTTTAAGAGACACCGATTCAGTGAGTCGGGGCCAGATCCTGGTGATCTTTATGTTTAAAAAGATCTAGGGGTGGTTATAATCGTGCATTTGGGGTGGTTATAATCGTGCATTGCTGAGGTGGAGATTGGCTGCATTAGTAGAGAATGACATTAGAGGGGAGAAGCCTCCCAACAGGTCTATAAGCAGTCTCAAGAAATTATGAGAGGGCTGCCAGTGGCTAAGAGACTCCTGTTTCTCCTTTCACAGCTTCTCAAGGCACCTCGTCCATCTCCCTGACATGCCCAGTCCTGCTGATGGCATTGCCCTCCAATTGGCCTTTAAATGTCCAACAGAACTTTTTATACCTCATAGCTGGCTAAAAGAAAATATATTCAGGTGTTGAGCTTTTTCCATTTGTGACACGTGACTTAACTTGGCGAGACTTTTGGCACCATGATACTATTTTTCTGCAGCTATTTTCTCATTTGGAATCTATTCTTGCAATTTCAGGGATATTATTTTAAATGGTCAGCAAAAGTGAAATTAATGATTCATGGCCATTCAGTAACATCAATGGCTTATAGTTAGAAAGCAAGTTAAAAGGAATTGACTGCGTTAATTTAAAAAGTGAGTAAAAGAGACGGGCAGAGTGGCTCAAGCCTTTAATCCCAGCACTTTAGGAGGCTGAAGCGGGTGGATCATTTGAGCCCAGGAGTTTCAGAGCAGCCTGGGCAACATGGCAAAACCCCGCAAAAAAATACAAGAACTAGCTGGGTGTGTTTACACATGCCTGTGGTCCTTCCTACCCAGGAGGCTGAAGTGAGAAGGATCGCTTGAACCCAGGAGGTTGAGGCTGAGGCTGCAGTGAGCCATAATCATGCCACTGCACTCCAGCATAGGTGACAAATAAAGACCCTGTCTCAAAAAAACAGAAAGTGTGCAAGAGAGTCAAACTATTGTAAGCAATTGTGTATCACAAGCAAATACAAGCCATAAGTATTAGGCCTTGCTCATCTCAATAATTTTTGTGATTAATAGGGACAATCCATTGTGTCTTGATAAAGCACATAATTTAATTATTAAGTGGCATCAAATTATCAATGCGGTCTCAAAAAGTCCTACATCACCCCACTTATTCTTGGTGAAGATGATATAGAGTAATCCTGTGCAATAGTTCAATCTGTCTTTGATCCTGCTTGAATACTTCTCAACTCCTTGCTCATGTCAGCTTTTTTAGATTGCTGCAATATTCTACTAAATATATTCATTAACTCAGATAACATATTGACTTCCCATGGTATATCGGGTGATAAGAACAATAGCGAACAAGGTTACCAAGTTCATTACCAAGTTCACTGTTCTCATGAATCTTACTTTCCAGGTCTGGGGAGACAGATAATTAACTTATATAAACAAGATAATTTCAGAGAGTGATAAGTACAACGAAGACAACTCTTTGGGATAGCAGTATTTCTATTATGTTCCTAGAGAATGGCTAATACTGATAATTAATGTTTATTGAATACTTACACTATATGAGCCCATAGCTAAGAATGGTACTCCTCTGATATCAACTCATATTTGCATTGTCTAATGTAGGTATAATTAATATTCTTATTTCCCTAATGGAGAGACTGAGAGTCAGAGAAACAGAGAAATGTAAGATCATTCAGGAAGAGCCAAGATTTAAAGCCAAGCTAGTTGATGGTCCAAGCTTTTCCTAACAAGTCCAGGTATGGAATACAGAACAATGAAAACAAAGGTTTAAAGCCAAGCTAGCTGATTGTCCAAGCTTTTCCTAACAAGTCCAGGTATGGAAGACAGAGTGATGAAAACAAAATAACAGAGATAAGTACATGATAGGTGCTAGTACAGAAGTGGAGAGAAAACTTCCTTGAGATTGGCATTGGAGCTGAGTGTGTGTGTAAATGGAGTTTATCCAAGGTCAGTAAGAATGAAGGAACACTCTGCCAGGCTGAGGGAACAGCACGTGTGTGGCCACAAGAGCATGCCCACCAGATCCAATCCAGTGTGTCAGGGGTATAGGTTCAAGGAGCTGTGGGAGGTGAGGGAAGAAAGAGATAGTTAGGCAGAGGTCAATTGTGCCAGGCCTTATATACCAAGCTAGATGTTTGATTTTATTCCGTAGCTTACAGGAAGCCACTGAAGTGTTTCTGGTGGGTAAGTGACCTTATACAATCTGCCCTTTTAGAAAGATCACCCTGTTTCCAGTGTCAAAAAAATGGATTGGAGAGAGTCAAACTCTGGGAAGATGGTTTGGAAAAGTTTATCTGTGGGTCAGCCAAGAGTTGATAATTGATGTCAGCCAGCAACTGTGAGGATGGATATTATTTCTAGCAAAGACACTAGCGAGGTAAAATTAACATGGCTTGTTAAAGGAAAGGGTGCCTGGGGGAGAAATCCTAGTGGATTCCCCAGTTTCTGGTTTTAGAAACTGGATGAATGGTGACACTATTGGAGGAACAACATAATTAAAGTGAAGCAGTACAGAAAAAATGCTAACCGCTATGCTTGCTTTCCTGATTTGAAAAGTGAGGAGGAAAATAGCATTTACCTCCTTGACTGTGGTAAGGACCAGTAACTTGTGAAACATATAAGCCACTTTGGATGGTTTCAGGCACAGGCCAGAAAACTAACAGATATCATGATGCCATGGTAACGGATGTAATTTTGTTTCTCCTTCTCTTTCTCTCACAATAGTTAAGGGTATCAAACATTTGTGATTAAATTGTCACCACAAATAAACTGAACTTGGCAAGATGAATTTAAACAAGTCTGAAACCTGTAACAAAATAAATGTTAGACCTCACCTTGAGACAGTGCATTAATTATATAGCATGTTTTGTTCCCTTTAATAGATTTTGGGGTACTGTTTTCTTCTGCTTACTTTGTATGTGGGATATAGTTGAGGATAGCAAAATCTCACAGCTCCACCAAACTTCCTTGCTTTTACATTGTCTGCCATTAGCTATGACAATCTGGCAGAGAATTAGAGGACAGGAACTACCCCAATATTGTGTAGCTTGAGCAGATTGGAAAAGGCCTATCATAGAATATCTTCAAGATCAAACTTGCAATCCAGGAACACATTACACAGAACTCTACCAGAATGGGACTGGGCCCATCAGAGTTTTAGCTCGCATTTGTTTCAATTTGTCTAGGTGCCTGACTGTTGCTGATTTCATTTATGATGGATATAAAGAGAAAAGTTGGAAAATGAATAAAATATAGATTGTTCATAAATCAATTTCTCCTTTCTCCTTTTTTCTCCTCTCAGAAAGGATGTGTGCATCAAGGATGTAAACAATATAAACTGCATTTTCCTCTTTCTACTCAGTAGTCTTTTAAATAATATATTGATTGGATATAGGATTACAGTAAAACATCTGTCTTACATGTTTTATATGAATGCAAAAAAAATGGGTAATTGCATTACCTCAATAATAAATCTAACAATGAGAGAAAAAGAAATACTGTTCCTAAAAACCATCTAAACTCCCAGATACCTCTAAATACAAATACACCATTTTGGTTGCACTGTTTACTATAGTAAATAAAGTGATCAATTTGTTTGATGTGACAGGAAACAAAGAGAAGATATTATTTTCATTGCCTTAAAGTTAGGCTTTAACACAAAATGTGTGCTTTCATACTAAAGCACTGAGAAGCTTAGAATCAAATAATGCATTATACACAAATACTCATGTTTTGCTTAAAAGTAACATTTACAAATTGTGATTCCTGATCAGTGTTTAGTAGAAATTAAATTATTTTGTCATTAAAGAATACAAGAAACTTCCATTTTTAAAAGTTCTCAAAACCTTTTATATTTGGCTAATCTTTATTATTCAGTCTCCATGTACTGTCTTCTCCTTAACTGTAGACGAGAAGATATTCAAGTCTACAATTCAGTGTTATAGAGAAGTTCGATGAAACGTATAGCTCACTTTTAGGTGCTGGAAAGCTATCCCAGGGGTTTGCATTAGTTAGGTTATAGTTAAGGGCTGTAACACGCAGGCCTCAAAATACAAAGTGCCTAAACTCAATGGAGTTTATTTCTCATACATTGGTTCTTACTAAGCAAATGGCTTTCTTCCAAATAAATGGTTCTCAACACTTTTTATTTTATCTCAAGACCAGTTTACACTCTTAAATATTACTGAGAACTGTAAAAGTTTTGATTTACTTCTGTGATAGCTATGAATATTTATAGATATAAAAATTAAAACAAATTTAAAATATTTACTAATTTCTTTAAAAGTAGTAATAACTCTGCTATGTTAACATAAGTAATGCACTTGATTAGAAAAAACTACATATTTTCAAACAAATTTTAGTGAGAAGAGTGACACTGCTTTACATTTTTATAAACCTCTATAATGTCTATAGCTTAATAGAAGACAGTTGGATTTCATATATGCTTTTTCATTATACTTTTGTCACATCTTGCTTTGGTTCTAATATATACATATTTGCATCTGGTCTTATAGGGAAATATACTAAGTAAAGGGAAGAGCAATTTCGTAGTCCTTCCAGACATTTGTGAATGTTTCAAATAATAGTAGATAGTCTTCTTTGAAGTTACACTTCGATACAAGTGGTAGTCTTTTAAAGGTTACTTGCAATGTGGAATCTGGGCCATATCAATGAGCTTTTCATGGTATTTTAAACTGAAATCCATTGGTGTATCTTGAACTTCAAATGAATCTTTTATCCTCAGATGATTTCTATGTCACGTCTTGGTCATTTGGAAAATATTGGTTTGCCAAGTTATACAGATCTCCCAAATGTTACCTTATTTAATTATACAATATCAAAAAGTCACATCTGCTAATATCTCTGATTTTCTTGATGTCATTAGACAAATACTTCTGACTTCACAGACCCTCCAAAGAGTATCAGGGTTCCCCAAGAGTTTCCAGATGAGACTTCTTGCACCACTGCTCCATACAATGATCCAAAGATCCTGGCTTCTTCCAGCCCTTGCTTTTCTATCCTCCTTAAGACCTCATCAGGTTGTCTACATCCAGCCAGTTGAAGGAGACAGATCCTGGATGGCACACTCAATTCTTAAAAATCAATTTCCCAGAAATGACACACATTATGTCTGCTAGTATTCCACTGGTGAGAACTATTTATATGGGCACATCTACATGTGAAGAAGTGAGACATGAAATATAGTCCCTAGGAAATATTGTCTTGCTGCTAAAATGCTCTAACATTGTGCTGTATATACACTGAATTGCAGGGGAGATTCTTTCAACCTCAGCATCTTGACAATAGCATAGTTACTTCTTAAGGAAATCCCGAACCTAAATGAACAAAGAGAAAGCAGCCCTCACAGATGAGATTCAGTCATAATACTGCTGCGTTACTGAATAGCTGGGACGCAGTGTGGCTGCGGTGGCTGCCCCTTGCTTCTGTTGATCCTTGTACTAACTATTCAACAATGGAGCACATTTCTTCTTGAAATTTTATTAGAAGAGTAATAACTGCATAGCGTGAAAATATGTAAAAGCAGTTTCAAAGGGTATATAAATGAAAAGTAAAAGTCTCCCTCCCTTCTAGTGCCTGATCCCCTCCTCTTCTCCTTGGTAAACTCAGTGAAAATTCTGGCATTTTCTTCCAGAACTTTTGTTAATTTTCTGAAAACACAAAAAGTCAAACTAACAAGGAAATTACTCAGGTAAGGGACACTGGGATTGCACAAGATAATGGGGCTATACTAACATTTCACAAAGGTAAGCCAAGTTCCTTTCAAAATGTCTTTCCTGATGTGCAAATGACATCATAGTTCTACAACTGAACTCTTGATGGATTTTTCAAGATGATATCACACATACTTCCTTCTGTAGAGATGTTTTGTAATCATAGAAATGATAATCAAATACAGTACTGGCTCTGCAGTCAGGTAAGCTTCCACTTCTAGACCTTTTCCAAGCCTCTGTCCCACCTTTTTCCCACACAGAATTGCTGTGCCATTATTCTTACTGCATATAAAACCTGTATCGGGGCCAATTCAGAAAAAAAGAAAGCACTTGCACTATTAGAAACTAAATTTATAAGGCAGGGAATTCATTACATAAATGATGAAAGAATTGAGAAGCTGAACTTGGGATGTTGAAGAAAACCAATCTCCCTCCCTCCTTCCTCCCTTCTTTCCTCCCTTCTCTCCTTTCTCTCTCCCTTCTCTCCTTACTCCCCTCTCTCCTCCCTTCTTTCTCTCCTCTCCCCTTTCTCCTTTCTCTCTCCTCTCCTCTCTCCTCCTTTCTCTCCTCTCCTCCCTTCTCTCTCCCTTCTCTCCTTCCTCCCCTCTTCCCTCCTTTCCCTCCCTTCCTCCTTTCCCTCCCTCCCCTCCTCTTCCCTCCCTCCCTCCCCTCCCCTCCCTCCCTCCCTCCCCTCCCCTCTCCTCCCCTCCCCTCTCCTCTTCTTTCCTTTCTTTATTTTTGAGACAAGGTTTCGCTCTGTTGTCCAGGCTGGAGTGCAGTGGCACAGTCTTGGCTCACTGCAACCTCAAACTCCTGGGCCCAGGTCATCCTCCCACAGCAGCCTCATAAGTAGCTGGTACCAGAGGTTTGCACCACCATGCCCAGCTATTAAAAAAAAAAAATGTAGAGTCAGGTCTCTTTACGTTGTTGCCCAGGCTGGACTCAAACTCCTGGGTTCAAGTGATCCTCCAGTCTTAGCCTCCCAAAGTACTGGGACTACAGGTGTGAGCCACTGCTCTCAGTCCTCATTCTTTAACTGAACAGAACTTCAAAACCCATAACTCTGTAGCACCACCATGGAAATTGCAGCTGCCTCAACATTCTCTTCCCCACCATCCAGGAAGATGCCAGTGCTGGTGGAGGAAGCGCAGTGACAAAATAAAAAATTATTAACCTGAAGGGCCTAGCCAGTGTGCTTGGGTGCTGCAGGAATGTTCTCTGGGTGGCCTTGGACTGATCCAATTCTCCCCACTTTCTCACTTGTAATTCTTAAGAATAACTGTGGAATACACTGGGAATGCAACATCCTGAAATAAGGAGAAACTGGCCTGTGCCAGTATAGCAAAGACTCTGCTCCAGTCACTCATAGGAACAGGATGTCCTTCAGTGCTTTACCCCAGTGTATCCTGTTGCCCATAGGGTATAAAACCCAGGGCAAGCTGCTTTCCAGGGTGCCTCAGTTGTGGTGAAAGTAGGACATGCACAGATGAGACTCTTCACACCCTGGGTAGCTTTCCTGAGCCTTGAGAAATGACACACCATGAATCCTAGGCTTTTGCTGTCCCTTGCTGCCTATCTATAAGTAATAAGCCCACTTCATGGAGTGTGAGTGTTCTGTCACCAGACTCAGACAAATAGTAAAAGTGCAGCCCAAAGTGCATTGGGCTGAAGTGATAATGGGTGCACAGTGAACCTGCTTCACAGGGGCCCCTTCAGTAAGTGTAAAGAATACTGGAGCAAGAAGTCACACTGACACCAATAGTGTACACAGGGACTGGAAATTTCACTCAGCTTCTATAGTTCAGGTGGTATCCACACAGCCAGCAGGGTTGACACAATGTGGCAGGATTCAAAAAGCTCAACTCTTCTCTCTTGAGATCTTAAGATTCTGGAGGGTAATGGAGACCAAGATACATAAGAGAAAGGAGGCTGGAGTCTCATGTGAAGAGAATATGGATTTCTGGACCCCTGTTATTACTGGCAGGCAATATTGAGGACTCCCAAGGCAAATTATTGCAACCTAATTATGAAGAGGGTCACTCTAGTTATATTCCTAAAATGCAAACTATTTTATGTCATTCCACGCTAAAAATCATTCCATTTACCTCAATCTTCTCATGGTAAAGTTCAATGGTGAATTTTCAAAGCTGTCAATAATATAATTCCTGCCTAATCCTCCAGCCTCACCCCTCACATTTCTCTTCCTCTTTCTCTTGCTCTCCTGGCCAGTGAAGTTCTCAGCTTTTTATCAGGATTATTTTCTTCTTCTCCAACTTTTCTGTGGCTAACTCTGACTCATCCTTTAGGTACCATTTGAAATATTGCTTCTTGGAGACTTTCCCCAAATTTCAGTTAAGTCCCAGTGCTATGTCCATCTGGTACACGCTCCATTATTACACCCATCACACACCATTGCAATTATGCTTTAATTAACTGTCTTCTCTGCTAGGCTTTAGAATATATGACTAGGAAACCTGGGTCTGGCTTGCTTACTGCCCTGATCCTTGGGCCCAGGCCATGTAATTGATTCTCAAAAAGTACATGTTGAAAGAAAGGAAGGAAGGAAAGAAGGAAGAAAGAAATAGTAGATTGAAATAAGAGAATAATGGTAAATGGTGAGATCTGAAGATTTGTAGAATATTGTTTCAAAATATCCAATGTCAAAGAATGCACTGATATTAAATATCACCCATTTTTAGTGATATTATTATAATATGTCTTCCATCTAGATGGCATATTAAAGTCTTTGCTAAAGCAACATTTTGCTAGTCCCATAGATCAGAAAACTCTAAACCCACCTTAAATGGGTGATAGAATATATTGCTGTTTACCAAGCATCCATCAACATGGCTGACAATACCAAAGTTCCTTCATCAAGAATATTTTGTTGATCCAGAAGCTGATTTGTAGGGAGTATGGTCAGAATTTAACCAATAGATCAATTTTAAAGGAAACGTCTTTTTTTTATGAATTAGGATACATCTAGATAAAAGCAAACATCATAAATGGCATGGATTTTTATGTCATTTTTCCAAGAAAGAATAAAAATCAAAGTCAGATAAATGATATTTATAGTAGAGAAATTTATAAAAACATAATTCTAAAATGCATCACATTATTCTGTTTTATATTGGATAGGGAAGATTGAGGCTGGATGTGAGAAGGGCCTCTAACTGTAGGGTAAGCTTAAACAAAGGCAGTGATGTAGGGAAGTTTATACTTGTCACATGTTCTCTGATTTAATAAAGAGAGAAAACTTTTAAACTTTGAAAATATGTATCAAATTAAATTTGCTTGGGGAAAATACATATTGCATACACTCAATGCTAATTCTCCTTGCAGGAGGCTTTATTGCAATTTTTTAATGTACTCATGTATTTCACACTATGAGATTTTTTGTCTGCTTAGCATTTCCCCATAACTTTTTATAAAAACATCTTGCATTATTCAAACTGGAAAATAAATAATAAATCAAAACCAACATATGTTCTTTACCATAAAAATTGTTGATTTCAGTGCCTTACAAAAATCTCACCAAGTAGCCATTTTCTAAATCTCATTTAATCACACTTGGATGAAAAGAAATCATTTTCTATGTCTTTGCATATGTATGTGTGGCTGAAAGGAAGTGGATATGATATGTGATTTATCAGGGTGGGTTTTTAGAGTTGTGCATTTGTAATTTTTTCTTTTAAGCAACATTATATCTCCAATTAGAGAGTAATTAAATTTCAATTTCTTTGCACCTTTCTCCCACACAAACACTTCAAATCTCAAAACTGTTCATTGCTTTTCTGACCTTTCCTGCTACCTACTATTAGAATCTTCTTTTACATTCTCTATTCATACTCCAATGTAAACTATGTGCAGGCACCCTCAGACATTATGTCTCTTAGAACTAAGGGCAAAGGCTTAACCTAGAGAGTATTCTCTATGTAACATTAAAGCAGTACTTGATTAAGAGTTTTTGAGCCATTAGGTTCTTGATAGAGGTCTGGTGTTTATTCTGACTACAAATAATTTCTGTGTTTCTTCATTTAAAAAATGTCTTCCTCCCCCTTCTTTCTGAGTTCTGTAACCTCTTAACTTTCTGGAGAAAATGATGGTTTCAACAACATTTTCTCGTGAGCTGATAGTTTCTTCAGCTGAATGGGGAGCACCTTTTCTGATTTTTATCTGCTCTACCTCAGTTTTTGTTTTGTTTTGTTCTTTATTGTATAAAGTCTGTACTGCTTCCTTTTAGACATTTACTGATACCTAAATGATGTGAGAACTTTCTGGGTGAGCAAAAGTGGATATCAAAGTATAATTTTATCATTATAGAATATATTAAAATGCTATTCCTTTGACGCATTATCAATTCATTAGTTTATGTAATATATATAAATGTAATTTATATATATATGTAATTTATATACATATATATATAATTTATATACATATATATATATATAGTGAGTACCTACTGGCATTGTTCTTGATACGTATATGGAAGAGGTAAGTCCCCATTTTCACAGGAAAGACAGACATTCCACAAGTAAACAAGTGTAAAAAGTAATGCCAGACTATGATAAGTGCCATGATTAGCAGTGAAGACAAGTAATAGGAGTGGGATCTGGAGCACGTGTTTTAGGCAGAATAATCTAAGAAGACCTTATTGAGGAGGTGACCGTAGACCAGAGACCTACGTGAAGATAAGGAGTTGTCTTATTTTCTCATGTCTCATGTCTAAGGCCATGAGGAGGTCTGAGAAACAAGGCTCTAGGCAGATGGAATAACACCAAAAAATGAAGTGAGAGAAGGATCTGCTTGGAGGTTTTGAAGGACAGCAGAAAGTAGAATGCCATAGAGGAATCTGCAAGGGATAGTGGGCAGAGAATGAGCTGAGGAGATAGCAGAGGCCATTTCAGCCAGTGTCTTGCATGCCATTGTGTTAAATTCTTTCCTACAGAACTATTAATATATTATTATCATTTTAGAACTAATTTTCTGATCTTAAAAGCACCGTAAAATAAACCACCTAGGGATATATTATAACTATTCTCTTACTGTTGGATAGTTAGGTTGTTATATTTTCCCAGTATAAATAATGTTTTAACATCTTTGCACATAACACTTTGTCCTAATTTCTAATTATGTGTAGGACAGGACACTCTGAAGTTGCATTTTAATTACTGATAACATTTAAAAACAAAGAAAAATTATAACTTTGTTGCGTAAGAAACCAATACAGAAAATTGATGCTAAATAAGCTTTCTCGCTAGTCAGGTCTCTGAATCTAATTTCCTTAATTGGTTCAAAAGAGCGTGACGCTGATGCAGTAACAGTTACAAGCAAATGGCTATGTTGGCTAACATCATTGCTGCTCAACCTAACCAGCTTCCATGAGTTTCATAGGTCATAGGTAACACTTGACAACCCTGTTAATGGAGCAGCACATCGGGGTCATCATTATTAGAAAATTAATGTCAAATAGATTCTTGTGGGTCACTCCATTCATATACACTTTTCCATTTTTTTTTTCAAAACTCTCTTTATACCTTTTCACTTAAATTGATGACCTTTGACTCATTTTACTGAAGCACATTGAAGCAATTAAAAGAGTTTCCTAACTGCCTTACCACCAAATCTACCAGTCTGCCTGCATCTACATACATCAGCTCTGCATTTTCTCCTTGCAGCAGATTCACTGTCCCTTTTCTTACCTAAGGTCAAACCCTGTACTTCAGCACTGGTTTCCATCCTCTCTAAGTTACTCAAGAATTTTGCTCCCACTCCATCAGTTTCTCCGTCTCACTATGTTGCTTCCATCAGCATACAAACATCTTCCAATAACTGTATTCAACAAAACCAACAAAAACAAATGAACAAACCTCCCTGGACTCCTCTGTGTCTTTTTTCCTGCATCCCTATTTCTCAGCATCTTACTACAAGACCTCATGAAAAAGCCGCCTTTACTCTCTGTCTGCATTTTCTCACCTCACCTCATTTAATAAAGCTCTCTTTACTATTTTTCCACCAAAACCACTTTTAGCAAAGTTGGCAATAACTTTCTCTTTGCCATACTTAATATTCACTTTTTAATCTTCATCCTTATCCAATTTATCATCCTTCCCTGTCAGTGTTTTAACCAAAGCTCTTGAACACTAGTGCCCTGGCTTCCTTCCTACGTCACTGGGCACTCCTCCTTTGTCTCCTTTTCTGGATCCTCTTCTTCAGACATGAGAAGTTGCAGAGCCCTGGGGCATAATTCTCAGCTCTCTTCCTTTCCCTAAGTGTCTCCCCTAAGAAATCTCATTCTTTCATGTGCCTTTAATCTCTATTTACATACTAATGACTGAAACTCCTGTCTACTGTTCAAAAAGCATCTGAATTAAAGACTGACACACCCTACACCCTGCTTGACAACACTGCTTGAGATGTCTAATGGGCAACCAAGACTTGATGTTGACAAAATAGAGCCATGGATTCTGCACACATACTACTTTCATTTCCAAACCTGCTCCCTGTCTTTCTCATGTCAACAAAGGGAAACACCAAATTCTGATGCCTCAGACTACAAACCTAGATGTCAAACCTGATCACTCCCTTCCTACACCCTGCATCCATGACATTAGCAAATCTTGTAGCACTAACTTTATGATATCGAGAATATAACTAGATGTAATCTTATATGACATTAGGATATATACTTTTTACTGCCTCCATTACTGCTTTCTCAATCAAAGCCAAAAGCATCTCTAACTTAGACTAATGCAAAAATACCCAAACTGATTTTCCTCTTGCAACTCTTGCTCCTGCCAGAGTTATTTTCACAACAGTCATAGTGATATTTATAACTATAATTTGAATCATATCATACTTATGTTTTTCAATGTTTCCTTACACTTAGAACAATATCCAAACTCTGTTTTTAGAAAGCTGAGGAAAATTACGAGTTATTTTACATTGCTTAAGTTCAATCAAATGTGAGGATCAACCCAGAATGTTCAGAAAAATTTTTAACAAATATCTATTATTTTCTTTTCAGCAAAGCATATTAGAAAAGTATAGAAATGTTTATAATAATGGAACAAGAATTAGAATCATAATGAAAAAGAATATTTGCCAGTGATTTAGATGTACCTAATTTTGACACATAAACTAAAAGTATACTTGGAATATACAGGAACATTGAATATGCAAAATCACCATATATGGTAACTTGTTTTTAGTCAGGGTAAAGTATTTTTTAATATTTTCCAAAATGTATGTTTCCTAAAGAGAACATTTCAGTGTGAAGTAAACTTGAGTATCCTTTCTCTTAAGGCAGTTTATCAATTAAGACAAACATAAAAATCCTGAGAACAGCAATTCTAGTGAATTTCAAAGACTGGCTTTTCTCTATCTGGGAAGGGCAGCCTGCTCAAGTGAGTGGACAGCTTCAGGAAAAATAAACACAGATGGAACAGACCCTGAAGATCTGAGGGGTGATACATGTCACATACAGACAGCCTGCACATCCCACTCAAAATATTGTTTTTTCATGTTGTATTTTTCCTTTTAACACACGCTGGGAGAATGTAACTTGAAATTCGGCCAAACATATGATGAAATATTTAGATTATAAAATACCTTGTAATAATATAAAACTGAAACCAAATTTCTTTCATTAATAATACTTTGTATAAACATGTATGGTATTTTGTCATGAGAGCTTTTTGTAGTACCAATAAATTTATCATCAAAACCAATCCAGTTTCTCCTTATTTTTAAATATGTAATTGTTTTACTCCCTTCCTTTCTCAATCTTCATGTCTTTATGTTTAGTAATTCCACAGTTGTCAAGAGAAAATACTAGGGTTTGTGTTCATTTGCATTTTAGCTTGACTGTTTGATAATGTTTTCCAAACAGGATCACGTCATGTGTGCCCTGGTAGAGAGACTTTGATCTTATGCAATACTCGACAGAATGGAATCACTGAGAAAATAAAACACAACCAGGGAAGTGATATAAACTTGGAAAATGTTGTAACCCTCATAAATCACATTTACAGTGTGTTTTTTTTACCTTTATAAAAGAAAACTCTAACACAACACTGCTAAAACTTAACTTACACTCTTTTTTTTCCTTTCTTTCTTTTTTTTTTTTTTTTTTTGAGACAGAGTCTTGCTCTCTCCCCCAGGCTGGAGTGCAGTGGCGCAATCTTGGTTCACTGCAACCTTTGCCTCCCAAGTTCAAGCGATTCTCCTGCCTCAGCCTCCTGAGTAGCTGGGATTACAGGCACACGTCACCATGCCCAGCTAATTTTTTTGTATTTTTAGTAGAGACGGGGTTTCACCCTGTTGGTCAGACTGGTCTTGAACTCCTGACCTCATGATCCTCCCACCTTGGCCTCCCAAAGTGCTGGGATTACAGGTGTGAGCCACTGCTCTTGACCAACTTACACTGTTAAAAAACAATGGAATTAATAAACAATGGAATTAGTCACAGACTAAGAATGCTCATCTTTCTAGAGTTACAAGATTGTAGGGAAACACTCTTGTCTCGTTATCTCGTAAGCAATTAACATTTTATGTTTCCTTGCATGGAACATTTCAGACCCATTATTGCTGTTAGATAATATTCTGTTAACTTTGTTTTCAAAACTATGCTTCTAGCTTTATATTTATTGAGGTATAACTTAAAGAGAAAATAATATTCAGTTGTACTAATTATTTGGCTATTTGGCAATATTAAACTCAGCTATCTTTGTTTTTTATTTTTCATTGAGAAGGAAACAAGAAACAGACAAGAAGAATTGGACTCATTATGTAGCACACTATGATGCCGCAGTTAACACACTGCAGAAATGCGTTAGAAAATAAGTACTGGGGGGTCTGGGTGTAAAAATTTCTCAATGGATTACTTGTACTCATAAAACCAGAGTGCAAAATCTCGAGTCCATTCATTCTGTAGGCTTTCTGGTGAATCGAGTGTACTGGGTGTACCTTCCGGGGGGGTCACAGCCTTTGCGAGTGCCTATATAGCTACAGATCTCTTCAGAAGCAATTGCAAGAAGTGTGCCTGCTTGTGTGCTATTGGTTCCCCTCTAAGGACTAATTGAGGGCACCAAACTCATTCTCACTTATAATTTAAATAAAAGATTTGAGGACCTATCACTAGAGATTTTTCTGTCAGAGTGGAAAAGAAACAGAGTATCCCTGTGGTATTAATATTGCTATTTTGCTACAAAATGCCTAGTTTTTACACATAAGAAAGATGACATTTTTGACGTAGCTCCTAATTACTTCAGTTTTATATATTATGCTACCTCTGAGTGTGAAAACCCTGGAGTCCTACAATTACCCTTAGACTCATTCCTCTAGCAGGTTGCATGTGCTAATGAAGAAAAGAGAAAAACTAATTATATTCTATAAATGACTGTTTATTAGTGAGTCATCCTCCTCTTTTTACCCTTCTAAGATGCCTTTCTGATTGCATCAGGCTGTATACACATTTTGCGTTATTAAAAATTAAAAATATAACCTATAAAGAGGCGGAAGAGAAGTGACACTCTAAGTGCTACGCTGAAACTTAAATATTTCGAAATTTCTTCATGCAAATCTCAATCAAGAAAGAGAGCTAAATAGCCTCATTTTCTCTGTATTGTTTTGCATCTAGTAGCACGGTATTTACTGAACATTGCTCCCTGGTTACCTGTAGCGTACTGAACTACTAAACCAAAGGTTCAATTGCATTTTCAATGTAAATTTTAAGTGCAAAGCAGAATAGAATAGGTTTGTCATCATATGAAAGGCATGAAAAACAGTCACTTGTTTGCTCTTTCTTTGCCAAATAACCCTGGATGCCAGAAACAAATTTTGCTATTTAATATCCCTTGAGTTGTATTTTTATATAATTTCCCCCTATTTCATCAAAGCATCAATTGTCCCAGAGTGAATCCACAGGTTAAAAAAAAAAAAAAAAAATTGACATTCTGCCCTCTAAAGCAAATTTGTCAACTGCCAATCTTAATTTAGTTTCCAAATGAGTCCCAAGGATCATGTCTGGGTAGTAGTTTAAATAAAGGCGGTGATTTTGACACAGCCATCACAGAACTTATCAAAGACCAAAAGCACACCAGGGGCTGGGGTGGTATGAGGAATTGGACATACTTTTCAGGTAAATTTTGAAACTATTTTGGGATGTAAGGCAGGGTACCCAATCTTTTGGCTTCCCTGGGCCACACTGGAAGAAAAGTAATTGTCTTGGGGATCACATGAAATATACTAACACTGACTATAGCTGATGAGCTGAAAACATAAATCACACACAAAAAACTCACAATGTTTAAGACAGTTTACAAATGTGTGTTGGGCCACACTCAAAGCCATCCTGGGTTGCATGCAGCTTGCAGGCTGTGGATTGGACAAGCTTGACCTAAGGGGCCACTTAATAGGAAATAATTCTTATGTGGACCAATTATTTCAAGGTTTTCAGAAAATTACAGTGGTGTCCATTTTTTAAAATTCAATTATTTTTAAATTTAAAGCCATGGAACTCTTAATGCAAATGTATTCTTGTTATTTTACATGACTCCATAAATAATAAACCTATACAAGCACAGGTTTTTAAAATGGGGGACAGAATAAAAATTACTATCCTAGAATAATTTCCATAGAGTGGGCTTTAGAGACAAACAAGGATGGTAATTGCTTACGTCATGTTCATATTTGTTATTATTTTATTTCCAGCAGGATACTATCTTGGAATGTTATTATCTGTGCTTTTAATTTTTATACTTATGTTTTGCAAACTTTCTCTTCTGAGTTAGTAATATCCTCATTGCTTCAAAGAGAATTAGCATTGTTTTAGTAGGAATGCAAAAAGAAAGAAATGGTTGGTGCTTGATTTTTATTTTATTTTTCAAAAGAGCCTCTCAAAGACCACATCAGAAATAACAGCTTTGAAACCAAAGCTTTTGATCTATGAGAGAATAAAAGGTTGCTGAGAAAGAAATGTTGGGTAAGGGAAACTGCACATAGTTTATTTTTTACTAACAGATTGAAAAGAGAACAGATAAAACCATAAAAGTCCATTTCCAGAGAGAACAGAGTAAGAAGTTGCAGTAATTGGGTAAGGTATGCCTTTGAATGAGTAACAGATCATCTTGTGAAGACAGCTAAGTTTCAAACAACTCTGATTACCTGCTCTCATTGCTCTTTGGGAGGACCTTCTACGAACATTTTCTATGCATGGTGCCTATGAGTCACCCAGAAGAAATAATGCTAGCTTATGTTCCAAAACTTTGCTGATGCTCAGGGGGACTCTTCTGTTTGGAAGGACCCTCTTTCAATACCCATCATATTTTTTGAGGCCCACAAAAAAGAAAATGGGGTTCTTGACATCCACTGGGGAATCTGAAAGAGGTTTTAGGAATAGTAAAAGATGTCAAAGTAAGAAAGTACAAATTAAAGCAGTTCATTCATAGAGTCATAGGAACTGTAGCTGCCATCTAGATCTTATGCAGGGAAAGAATTCAACTCAAGTTATGAGAGGAAACAAGAGAACTATGAAATGGTTTAAATTGTTTTAACCACAAGAGTAAGGAAGGCCAACATTTGTGTGGAAATATGCAAGCATAGTTGTAGTTTTCAACCAAAGAATACCCTGAAAATTGAGATCTTTTGCTTCTGAAAATTCAATTATAATGAAAATAAAGAAAAACTAG
This sequence comes from Homo sapiens, assembly GCF_000001405.40. Lineage (NCBI taxonomy): Eukaryota > Metazoa > Chordata > Mammalia > Primates > Hominidae > Homo > Homo sapiens. Next base: position 124,368,138 of record NC_000006.12, on the reverse strand, counting down.
AGGATGTCTGGATACATTTTGGAGTCAGATCCACCTTGGAGAAAGGATGGGGACATTTCTAAAAGAATTTTACCACACAAAAGCAGCATAATGTAACTTGGGAATTAAAGGAAGAATTTAAGCCTAAATTTTCCTTAGAGCTCTGGGTATAACCTACCCAGCATTAAGAGTTCCATGGCTTTAAATTTAAAAATATTTGAATTTTAAAAAATGGACACCACTGTAATTTTCTGAAAACCTTGAAATAATTGGTCCACATAAGAATTATTTCCTATTAAGTGGCCCCTTAGGTCAAGTGGTTATTTCACTTGATATCTTGGGTGGTATCAGCAGTAAGTGATACATCAGGTGATGAATTTGTTTATGCGCAATTATCAAGATGTACCCTAGGATCTCTGATTCAAAGGATGGCCAGAAATCAAGAACTCACCTTGTGCCCTATGTCGAAGTTCCCAGTAATTAAATCCTTACAACTCAAAATATGTTTGACAGGCAACAAGAATGTAATCACATAGCAGTTAGGGATGAAATAACTTAGGCCTCACTCTAAGAGAACCATAATCTATAATTAAAAAGATATCAAAGTGATTTATATAATGGTTAGTTTTAAAGAGCCCTGATTTGAGGTGCCCTAATGCTGGGATTACTTTCCTTTTGCTTGCTACCACCACAGAGTGCTGGAATCGACGTGAGAGATGTAGACCTCATTATCCATGCAATAGTGGAGGGGAAGAAAAAGTCCCCAGCAGCTGTATTTGTAGATCTAGACAATTACTGAAGTCCACTCTATTACCATTTGATTTCATTCCAGTGAGCATTGTTCATATGCCTGACATTTTCCTTGATCCTAGGGATGCATAAAACATGATTCCAACATTGAAGAACAGATAGTTAAGGAAACATATAATTAGAATATATTGATAAGAACAACTTATTGCATTTGTTTTATGATGTATCAAATGGGCTTATTTATAAACACCTAAAATGCTCTTAACTGATTCTATAATTCCTCACTACTGTGTAGTAGCTCAGTGGCATTCTCCTGCATAACGATGATGTGTGGTCTTTTAGCAAATACAAGTTTAGAAAGAGAGATGGAAATGTACATATGTATTACAATACAGTGTGGGAAATAATATCATAATTATTTATAAATTTATGGAGAGTTATTCAGCATTTTAAAATTCTTATTACTTTTTTTTTTTTTTTTCGAGACAGGGTCTCACTCTGTCACCCAGGCTGGAGTGCAGTGGCACGATCTCAGCTTACTGCAGCCTCTACCTCCTGGGCTTAAGTGATCCTCCCACCTCAGCCTCCTGAGTAGCTAAGAATACAGGTGTGAACCACCATGCCTGGCTAATTTTTTGTATTTTTGGTAGCGATGGGGTTTCACCATGTTGCTGAGGCTGGTCTAGCTCAGGTGATCCACCCACCTCAGCCTCCCAAAGTTCTGGGATTATAGGCATGAGCCACCGTGCCTGGCCTATTACATTTGAGTTCAGTAATCTGTTATTTGACAATCACACGTATCCTCAATAAGTAAGGTTATACTGGCCTCAAAAGATGAGATGGGAGGCACTTCTGCTGTATTCTTAGAAAGAATTTGTGTATATTGGTAGTATAACATTCCTAAACATTTTTAAGAATTTTTCAGTGAAATCATGTGAACACAAAATGGTTTTTTTTTTCTGTCAAAAGATTTTGATTAATGATGCAATTTATTTAATGAATAAAAAGGTCTTCAGATTTTTAATTTATTTCAAGTTGTGGTCTCCAAAGAATTTGTCTATTTCACCCTGATTGCAAATATATTGGCTTAAACTTGTTCATAATGTACTCTCTCCAATCATCTATAGAGTTATTTGTGATATTAGCAAAAGGTGATTTTACTCTTTTTTTCGTTTAATCACTATTGATAAGGATCCCCTCAATTTTATAAACACTAAAAAGCAATTTGGCTTTATTGCTTTTTTTCCCCTATTGTATATGCATTGAGTTCTGCTATTGTCCTTGTTATTAGAATGTTTTCACTTTAGAGAAGTTTCATTTGTTGTTCTTTCACTAGCTTCTGGCTATGGAAGTTAAGATCATTGAGTTTTGAGGATTTCTACTCTTTTAATATCTCTCTTTAAGGTCATTTTTTCCTCTAAGCATTTCTGCAATTTCACACCACCAAGTTTTTTTTTTAGCAATAAATTCATTTTTATTGAGTTCAGAATACTTTCTAAACTCCATTCCAACCTATTAGGTCCATAGGTTTAGAAGTATATTGTTTAATTTCCACACAGTTGCAGATTTTCTAGCTTAATTCTATAGTTGTCAGACAATACTTGCTGAATAATTGCAAATCATTCTAAAATTTGACTTTCTACATTTTGAATCATTATATGATTGAATATTCTATATGCCTTTGAAAACCCTTTTGTTTGGTGGAGTGTATTCTATATGTCAATTATATCAAGTTTTTTAACTGTTTTATATAGATATTCTATATCCTTATTGAATTTTCATCTGATTGATGTATCCAGAGAGTAATGTAAAAGTTTCCCACTGTGATTGTGGATATGGCTATTTCTCCTTTTAATTCTATTAATTTTTACTTCATATACTTTGAAGCTGTATTATTTTATTCAGGTAATGTTGCTTTGCAATATCTTCATGTGGATTTACCTTTTTATCATTATTACATTTCCCCCTTTATCTTTAGTAATGTTTCCTGCCTTAAACATTACCTCATCTTATATTAAAATTACTACATCACAAATCTACAAAAACTATATTTGTTTTTATAGGAACAGATTTTACTTGTTCTTAACTTATAATTTAAATCCTATTTAAGGCATATCTCTTATAGACAACAATACATTTGGGTTTTGTGTCTTTATCCAGACCAACAATCTTAGCCTTTTAATTGGAATATTAGTATATTTACATTTAATATATTTATTGATATATTTAAGATTATAGCACCCATCTTGATATTTTTTTCTTATTGACCCTCTCTGTTGTTGTTAGCATTTCTTCCTTCTTAGCATTGCTTAGGCTAATCAATTATTTTCATTATTTAATTTTTCACCTATACTTAGTTTTTAGGAGTTATGCCATCTTTTAGTAGTTACTCTAGACATTACTAGTCTTGAACTATTATAATCTAACATAAATATTACCATTAACATTTCCATAATAATGCTACAACCTTAGAACACTTTAGCTCCTTTCTACCTCTTGTGTTATTGTTGTCATGCATTTGAGTTTTACAAATATTTAAATCCCCAAATATTTTATTGCTATTGTTTTGTGTTTAACAATACAACCTGTGTTATTCTTTCCATTATCTTCTTTCCTTCCTAAAATTCCCTTTTTCTCTCTGGGGTGTTTTTTTTCTCACTCTGCCTAAAGAACTACCTTTAGTATTTCCTTCAGTTAAAGTTTGCTAGTAATTATTTATCTTACGTGTTGTTGAAAAATGCTTTCATTTCATCTTAATTGTTGAAGAATATTTTTGCAGGGTAAAGAATTCTAGGTTGGCATTTTAAAGCACTTTAAAGATGTCATTCAATTGCCTTCCTGTTGAAAGGTCAACTGTCAGTCTTTTTGCTGTTCCTTTGGGTCTTTTATCTTTGGCACCTCTTATAATCTTCTCTTTGATTTAGATTTTTAATGTTTCTGTTCATCTATACCTAAATCTGGTTTTCTCGATTACACTTGAAATATGAAAGTATTCTTGAATCTGTGGGTTGATGTTACTAATTAATTTTGGAAAATTCTCTGTCATCTTCACTTCAGATATTGCTTCTATCCAATTCTGTTTTTTTATCCTGGTAATTCAATAATGTGCATATTGAATCTTTTGTTGAACCCATATGTTTTTGACATTCTTTTCTCTCTTTTTTTTTTTTTTGGTATTTTTAACCCTTTCCTGTGCTTTAGTTTGGAGAATGTTAATCAATTATTTCTCAAGTTCCTTAATCCTCTCTTCTATTCTTTTAAATCTACTATTAAACCTACTTAATGAGTTCTTACTTCTAGATATTATATTTTTAAGTCTTAGAATTTCCATTTGATTCTTTACATAAATTCCAGTTCTCTGGGGCTAAATTATTTCTCTTTCAATGTATTAGTTCCAGTTTTCCCGTTTATTTTCTCTAATATATTGTTTATGTGTTTTTAAAAATCTTTACCAGATAATTAAAATATCTGAATCATCTCTTGGTCTATTTCAATTGTGTATCTTCTTCTTCTCTTTCAATCATTACATTCTTTCTTTTAGCATCTGTAATAATTTTCAATTGCCTGATGTCATGCACATAAATAAACTGTAAATGTCTAATATAATGGTGTCTTTATCCTAAGATGTTTCTCTTTTCTCTCAACTAGAGAGATAAAGTGATGGGTAATCAGTTTATTTCAATCAAGAATTGTGCTGAGTTGAGCCTGGATTTAGTTCTGGTAATCTTCAGTCTGTATTTGGTTTGCCCCTGGCTTGTTCTTCAGATCTTTTCACATGAAAGTCTAGTTTATTCTATAGAGTCCTTCCCTGTCTTCAAACTAATTTGGCATGACTGCCGAAAAATTTTCATTATGCATTTACAGAGTTTTTCCATTTATATTTTTAGCCTGGTACAGAATTTGCCTAATGCCTTAACAGAAAAATTGCCTATGTGCACTAGACCACCTCCCTCAAAGCTATGCTGATTTATACATTTGTCAAAAAATAGCATTCAACAGGGTGTAAAGCCTGAATACTTAGCCTCCTGCCCCAACCAGAAACAACAAATGCACCCAGGGTATAGCATGTTTACAAAGTTAGCTCATCTTTTTCGAATATAGCTTTTTTTGAGTAGTCATTACTTTAACAGATCTCTGTTGTTTTCAACTTGTTGGTATCTAAAGTTTACAATATACACACACAAACAAGTAATAGATACATTATACAAACATATATTTCTTGCTTTATCTCATGGTCAATTTATAAGGATTTTAGTAGTCCACATAAAAAATTCTGGCTGAGCGTGGTGGCTCATGCCTGTAATCCCAACACTTTGGGAGGCCAATGAGGGCAGATCACTTGAGGTCAGGAGTTCCAGACCAGCCTGGCGAACATTGCAAAACCCCATCTCTACTAAAAATACAAAAATTAGCCTAGTGTGGTGGCACGCATATGTAAACCCAGCTACTCGGGAGGCTGAGGCAGGAGAATCACTTGAACCTGGGAGGCGGAGGCTACAGTGAGCTGAGAGTGCACCAATGTACTACAGCCTGGGCGACAGAGTGGGACTCTATCTCAAAAAAATAATAATAATAAAATTCTTTTTCCTTTTTTATTCATTTTTTCAAAATAAATTTTGGTTTTATCTCTTTTTTCTTCTCTTAGTAGAAAGTGAATTAAAGAAGTTGGATTCTTTGGGGATGATAATAAATCATTTTGGACATTTTGAATTTAAGGTGACAATAGAATTGACCTGACACCAGCAGGAAGTTGGAGATGTGACACATTAACTTAGCAACAAGGTCAAGACTGAAGACATAAATCTGGTAGACATATGTGTAAAGATGATAGTTTATGTCAGCAAATGGCATTTTCAAGAAAAAGAATGGAGACAGAGAATAAGAAAGGTTCATGAACTGTTTTCCTCACTTTAGGGGTAGTAAAAGGAAACAGAAAATAAAACAAAGAAAAATGAATTTAAGAAATGAGGAAATAATCAGTTTAATTCATGAATTATGAAGGAAAACGAGAGAAGAGAGATTGTGACTGACCAAATTCCAACTGGTTGGTTCATTTCTAGATTTGGGAAAGAGTTACATTACATTTAATTATTAATAATAGGTCGAATATCTTTCCCTGCATCATAAGGCAAAAATCTGCTTTGATAGTTGGGAAATAAAAATTTTTTCTAATTACTTTAGTAATAGTTAATTGAAATTTTCTCAGATATATAAATTTTACAGTAAGAAAATCAAAATTTAAAAAATGAACCCAATATATTATCATCATAATATTTGTTAAATTTTGTCTTAAATCAATTATTATAGGTAGTCTTTGTTTAATAGTAATTGCTCATATATTTTTATCTCATGAAGAAGACTAAAGAGGAAGAGTTATTTTTTCAAATAAAAAAAGATTACAGCATATTTCTCTGCATACCATCTTTTTACATATGAGGTCAGAAAAGCAAATTTTGATACAAGCATTGGTTTTATTGAGCAAAAGAATCCAAATATCTGATATCTTTCTAAATGAATTATTCATTTTGTTACAGAAGAAATAAAACTGACATTGTTGGAACAGTACATTATTCCACATTGCACTTGCATCTGGTTTTAAGGATTTGTTCCCTATAGTCTACAGTATATGACAACTTTTATCTCCTTCCTGTCTCTTACATTCAAAAGAGTGCAATTTTATTCCCTAAAGCTTAAATAAGCCACATTGTTACATGACTTTTTTATATAACAAATTTTCAAATTGACAAGTTATATCTAGATCTCTGAAGCAACTATCAAAATTATTAAAATATGACAGCTTTCTAGGAGTTGCTTCTAAATGTGTTCATTCTGAAACAAACATTAGGTATAAATTTCTGTTACTATAGTGAAATCTGAGAGAGATATACCTGCATCCCTAGTCCCAAAGGGTTAAATAAAGACAAGTTGGGTTGTTTTAAGTGTACAATAATCCCTTGGTTTATCCTTTACGCTCTATAAGTTTATTGTTTTATTTCTAAAGATAGGCACACCATTCACTAATGGTGCCCCATACATTATGAAGGTAGAAACATATCTGAAAATAGTAATATGAAGAAAAGTGTAAGTATTTAATTTCAGCCTGAGTAATTTATAATTTTATCACATGCAATAAAATATAGGTTTTTACGGACAATCCAGAAGACCACTAAGTTTTCTTCCCTTTGTATTACTATTCAAAAAATAATTTAATAAATTTTGTTTTTCCAGGTGATGAAATGAATAGATTAATCACCATATTATATATGTTTTCTTTCCTACTGCTATATACTTTCAACTTAAAAATCACTTCAGAACAAATAGCATATCTCTTCTGTGTTGAAAATACCTCAACTCAGTTGATGGCTGAGGTTAGTTCTTATTTCTCTCTATTTGATATATGATCAAGGGAACCACAATTGCCAAGAATAATACAACAGAATAATGAAGCTATATGAGGAATTGTCAAAACTCTTAATTCAATAACCCATGTCACATTTGATGCCCAAAGGCAATTTCAAACCGTTACCAGACACTTCAGGTTACAGACTAATTTTTTCTCAGTTTCCTTAACAGGACATCTAGGAAAATATCAACCCAGGAAGTTACACACTGCTAAATGCTTTAGGATATTTAGTTTCAACACTAATATCTCAATGCATTAGCATTAGCAGAAATAATTATATGAAATGTGTATGTTTATTTGCTCCTATCATCTTATGTATCATTTTATACTATATTCCCATCATTTTGTTAATTTAACTATGATATAACATTTAAAAGTTTCTCCGGTGGATTATTTTTATTTTTCTTTAGATTTTGTGGACACTGTAATTAAAATATGTTAATGGAAATTTTAATAATAATGTTGGATTTTCATAGAATTTTCAATGAAGAAAATATATTAACTATACCTCTATGTGTACAAAGAAAACATGATCAAAAGGGTTAGTCCTGTGTATCATATTATTGAAATTAAGTCATTTCAATATGAATGTACACTGTGAGTTGGTTGATTACTATAATTTCTGTTTCACTCATAAGCATATGGCAGAGAGTTCATTAGGAAAAGCAGAAAAGACAGCCTAATCAATAGAAAAAGAGGGAATCCTCCAGAACTCATTTTATGAGGCCAGCATCATCCTGATACCAAAGCCTGGCAGAGACACAACCAAAAAAGAGAATTTTAGACCAATATCCCTGATGAACATCGATGAAAAATCCTCAATAAAATACTGGCAAACTGAATCCAGCAGCACATCAAAAAGCTTATCCACCATGATCAAGTGGGCTTCATCCCTGGGATGCAAGGCTGGTTCAACATTCGCAAATCAATATACGTAATCCAGCATATAAACAGAACCAACGACAAAAACCACATGATTATCTCAATAGATGCAGAAAAGGCCTTTGACAAAATTCAACAACCCTTCATGCTAAAAACGCTCAATAAATTAGGTATTGATGGGACATATCTCAAAATAATAAGAGTTATCTATGACAAAACCACAGCCAATATCATACTGAATGGGCAAAAACTGGAAGCATTCCCTTTGAAAACTGGCACAAGACAGGGATGCCCTCTCTCACCACTCCTATTCAACATAGTGTTGGAAGTTCTGGCCAGAGCAATCAGGCAGGAGAAGCAAATAAAGGGTATTCAATTAGGAAAAGAGGAAGTCAAATTGTCCCTGTTCGCAGATGACATCATTGTATATCTAGAAAACCCCATTGTCTCAGCCCAAAATCTCCTTAAGCTGATAGGCAACTTCAGCAAAGTCTCAGGATACAAAATGAATGTGCAAAAATCACAAGCATTCTTATACACCAATAACAGACAAACAGAGAGCCAAATCATGAGTGAACTCCCATTCACAATTGCTTCAAAGAGAATAAAATACCTAGGACTCCAACTTACAAGGGATGTGAAGGACCTCTTCAAAGAGAACTACAAACCACTGCTCAATGAAATAAAAGAGGATATAAACAAATGGAAGAACATTCCATGCTCATGCGTAAGAAGAATCAATATCGTGAAAATGGCCATACTGCCCAAGGTAATTTATAGATTCAATGCCATCCCCATCAAGCTACCAATGACTTTCTTCACAGAATTGGAAAAAGCTACTTTAAAGTTCATATGGAACAAAAAAGAGCCCACATTGCCAAGTCAATCCTAAGCCAAAAGAACAAAGCTGGAGGCATCACGCTACCTGACTTCAAACTATACTACAAGGCTACAGTAACCAAAACAGCATGATACTGGTACCAAAACAGAGATACAGACCAATGTGACAGAACAGGGCCCTCAGAAATAATGCTGCATATCTACAACTATCTGATCTTTGACAAACCTGAGAAAAACAAGAAATGGGGAAAGGATTCCCTATTTAATAAATGGTGCTGGGAAAACTGGCTAGCCATATGGAGAAAGCTGAAACTGGATCCCTTCCTTACACCTTATACAAAAATTAATTCAAGATGGATTAAAGACTTAAATGTTAGACCTAAAACCATAAAAACCCTAGAAGAAAACCTAGGCAATACCATTCAGGACATAGGCATGGGCAAGGACTTCATGTCTAAAACACCAAAAGCAATGGCAACAAAAGCCAAAATTGACAAATGGGATCTAATTAAACTAAAGAGCTTCTGCACAGCAAAAGAAACTACCATCAGAGTGAACAGGCAACCTACAACATGGGAGAAAATTTGTGCAATCTACTCATCTGACAAAGGGCCAATATCCAGAATCTACAATGAACTCAAACAAATTTACAAGAAAAAAACAACCCCATCAAAAAGTGGGTGAAGGATATAAACAGACACTTCTCAAAAGAAGACATTTATGGAGCCAAAAGACACATGAAAAAATGCTCATCATCACTGACCATCAGAGAAATGCAAATCAAAACCACAATGAGATACCATCTCACACCAGTTAGAATGGTGATCATTAAAAAGTCAGGAAACAACAGGTGCTGGAGAGGATGTGGAGATATAGGAACACTTTTACACTGTTGGTGGGACTGTAAACTAGTTCAACCATTGTGGAAGTCAGTGTGGCGATTCCTCAGGGATCTAGAACTAGAAATATCATTTGACCCAGCCATTCTATTACTGGGTACATACCCAAAGGACTATAAAACATGCTGCTATAAAGACACATGCACACGTATGTTTATTTCGGCACTATTCACAATAGCAAAGACTTGGAACCAACCCAGATGTCCAACAATGATAGACTGGATTAAGAAAATGTGGCACATATACATCATGGAATACTATGCAGCCATAAAAAATGATGAGTTCATGTCCTTTGTAGGGACATAGATGAAGCTGGAAACCATCATTCTGAGCAAACTATTGCAAGGACAAAAAACCAAACACCGCATGTTCTCACTCATAGACGGGAATTGAACAATGAGAACACATGAACACAGGAAGGGGAACATCACACACAGGGGCCTGTTGTGGCGTGCGGGTTGGGGGAGGGATAGCATTAGGAGATATACCTAATGTTAAATGACGAGTTAATGGGTGCAGCACACCAACATGGCACATGTATACATATGTAACAAACCTGCACGTTGTGCACATGTACCCTAAAACTTAAAGTATAATAATAAAAAAAAGAAAAGTTCTAAACTCTAATCAGGTAACAAAAATTTACCTTAATGTTTTATCACGTTTTATTACCTCTTACCAATATCCATTATGAAGCCATCACTTATTTACAAAAGATTTCATGGAAATAAATACATTTCTTTCACATATATAAAGCCCACAGAATGTCAACCCTGATTCTTTTTCACAAATTTCTCCCTCAGCCTCAAACTAACTGATCCATTCATAGGGTAGACACATTCAAATTGCTTTTTTTTTTCTGATGGATTGAGAAAAACAATGGTTTACATTCTTTTAGTATTATCAGAAGTTTCATATGTACCATTTTTGAGTTTCTATCTTTCTGTACATTTTTCCATTACCAATTACCATTGCTTCCTTCTGGCACTGTATTACCTGAAGAATGTGAGGCAGTTGCAACGACTAAAGAATTAAATGGTATAAATACACCTTTTTTCAAATGCTTTGAACACGAAAGAGAGGAAAAACCCAGTACAGATAACTATATAACGATAACTATATAACTTTGCCCTTTATGGTTTTTTTTTAGGTTATTTGTTAAAAAGGAAATTATTAAATTTTCATGTGCTCTGCAGAGCCCAGCCTTGGTTTATAGGATGAGAAGAAAATAAAATATTATCAACTGTTTCATTGCCAAGGGATAGAAATTATCTGCCCATGTACATTGGAAGAATTCTTAGTGCCCTTGCTGTGGTTTCAATGCCTGTGTCTGAGGTCATGAAATCACCAGCTTTATTCTGTGCCTGCAGTCATCATGGGGAGCAGTGAGCACAATTACAGAACTTTTGTGCAGCCAGCTTTGCTCAAATCTCTTTCTCTCTTTTCTTAATATTAAACAAATTATCTGATCTGCTGGATCATTTTACTCAGGCCATATGTCTGAACACCTGCCTTACAATTTTTAAGGTGATTATTTAAAATTGAAAATATCATTAAAAGTCATTCGACTATGGAATTCCTTTGAAGAAAGTGGATTATAGAGTAGCAGAGATGTATAAATTGGGCAAGGAATTCAAATCCTTGGAAAAGCGTGTCTGCTTTTCTTACACTGAGGCGAATGTGAGTTTTAAGCAGCAATCTGGTCTGGGTCCCTCCTAGAGCCACTGAACAATTTATTTTCATTGGTCACGGCACCTTCCTGAAAAGGCTGCCTGCTAACCAGAGTGTGGGGAACGATGCCCTGCAAAAAACACACAAATGGCATCCTCTAGGGAGATTTTGCTAGCCACGGTGAGGACTTGTCCACATTCTGATCATAAAATTACACATCCAAGAAGTTTTGGTTCTCTCTCATATCATGATGTCATCCTCCTATTTGATCCTTCATCTTTTGTCATTGAATAAAAACAAATCAAAATGATTTTTCCTTGATATAAAGCCACATATCACAGTTAACTAATAAACAAACATCACATGATGAGTGCTTTGTGAAACTCCTGCATGTAAGATCATAAATGTGTATTACCATTCTCTTCTCTCTCCTTCCAAAATATATAGCTTGACAAGGCAAAGGTAGTTCCTGAGGAATTTTCTTTAAAAAAAATTTTTTTTAGCTCTCTTGGTCTTTTAAAGCACGTGAGTATCTCTGGGTTTTACAAATATCAACATGTTTGCAGGGGCCTTCTGCTCTAATACAGGGTAAGTAAAAGAACATTTTACAATTTTTATGTTTTAAAGTTTTAAATACGAGGAAGTACATACAAGTTTGAAACTCTCTCAAGAGTCAGAATTTGCTACTACCTTGAATGGATTACCTCATTTGACTTCTTTGCTGTTAATTGCATTCTAACAGAAGGATGATGGTGTTCGAGATCTGAAGCCTACACTATTTGTGTAGTAAGGGCATCCATGTGAAAAATATAGTAGCAAGATGCACACATACAGAGCACAAAAAAACTAAATGAAAAAAGCAAGTATTTAGTTTTCCTAGCCTATTTAGAATAAAGGGTTGATTGTATTCATTTCTATAACATATTATATACCTCTAGTAACAATTTCATTCAACCAAAGCCCATTAACTGTTTCAATTATTGCACTGTTATTTAAAATCAATAAGGACAATGTTTAGCAGAGTTATAAGCAAACTAAGTGATTTCAGAAATCTTCAAGATTTTTTTCTCTGAAAAAAATTCACATTTTGCTTCAGAAATCATTCAGTGGTTAATGTTTTAAAGTGCACTGCCTGGTCACTATAATAAGCAACAGTTCACTTAGTTTTGCTTAAGAAAAAGTACATTTTTGTGACTCACCAGACATATTTTTAATGATAAAAATGCAGAAATATAAATCAAGACACCTTTCAATTTACTTTCATTGAGGTGCAGCTAAGCAAGCAGAACAGGATGAGACTCTGCCTTACTTAGGAAGAGACTTGTTAACACCCTACTGATGACTCAGGCAAATTAGATGTAAATTACCTTTGAGAGGTCCCCAGCCTCCAAATAGAAGCAGATAACAAACACATTCCACGTAACCCAGAGGACTAGCCAGACAGCATACTGTAGAGAAGCAAGAGAGAAATAACGTATAATTAATTTGGAATCAGTTGAGTATGATTCAAATAAAACGAACTTTCGCACACCCTAATATAAGATTAGTGGGAAAGGTTAAATATTGCTTCTCTCTAAGGAACAGGATTAGATGTACGTTTATCTCTGTTGAGATTTTTTTTTCCTTCTTTCCTTTTTTTTTTTTAATGACAAAGTCGCACTCTGTTGCCCAGGCTGGAGTGCAGTGGCATGATCTCGGCTCACTGTAACCTCTTTCTTTCAGGTTGAAGTGATTCTCCACCCTCAGCCTCCCGAATAGCTGGGACTACAGGTGCGCACCACCACACCCAGCTAGTTTTTGTATTTTTAGTAGGGATGGGGTTTTGTCATGTTGGCCAGACTGGACTGTTGAGTTTTTTTTTTTTTTTTTTCTTACTGTTATGGACTCATAGGATTACAGCTCAAACCTGCTTAAGGATAAATTTTTAGGTTTTAAGACAAAAAAAATAGTAATCCACATTATTGTTTTAAAAGTGAATAATTATAGTTTCTAGACATCTAAAAAATTCAGTGCTCTAACATATATGTCTGATACAACCCACCAAAAGAAGACTCACAGTTTCCTTAGCAAAACCATCTCCGTGTAGGACAATGATCAACCTTTCCCCAAGTTGTCAAGGATAATCAAATCAGTCTTTCTGCCTCTGTCCCATTCCAATCAGCTTTCTCTCTTTGGTGTCTCCTTTTCATTTCTCCATTCACCTTCTTATTTTATCATTTCACTATCTCCCATTACAGTGACCATCTAACTAGTGTCCCTAAATTTATTCTATTTTCTCTCTAGTGTACCTTCTATAATGATGATAGATTTTCTTACTAAGACATAGTTCTGATCATTCAGTCAGTTAAAATGTATGAAGCATCCAGAAGGCAACATGCTAGCAAGACACTGAGAATGCAAAGACCAATGATGAATTCCTCCTGAACTCAAATCAAATGAGAGTGACTTTTTAAAAATAGATCATTATTATACAAGAATCATAAAAATATATAAAGTCTGAGCACAAGACAGGAAAATGAGAGGAGTACATAACCTGTCCTGGGAAAAAGAGTCTGCAAAGCTTAACAAAAGAGGTTAAGAAACACCTTCCAGAAGAGATGAATCAAGCTTAAAACGAATGGACTTAAAAGCATGCGGGGTTGGAAGGGCTTTCATGGGAGGATCCTGTAAACAAAGGAAAGAGCAGGTGTGAATTCTGAAAAAGTGAAACAAGAGGATATCATGTCACTTCCCTTCTAAACAAATGCCAATGGCTCCCAACCTTTCTAGGTGAGTTCCAACATCTTTAATTTATGCTTCAAGAACCTCCATGATCATGATCATGATCTTGCACCTTGTTACCTTTTGAGCCATGTGTTTCAGTTGATCTCTGGAGTCATCCTTGATTCCAGACACATATATTATTTGCTGTTCCATGTAGATGGAAAGTTATTTCCCACCTCTGTGCCTCTTTTTTTTTTGAGACGGAGTCTCGCTCTGTCGCCCAGGCTGGAGTGCAGTGGCGCGATCTCGGCTCACTGAGAGCTCCTCCTCCCAGGTTCAAGCCATTCTCCTGCCTCAGCCTCCCCAGTAGCTGGGACTACAGGCGCCTGCCACTATGCCCGGCTAATTTTTTTGTATTTTTAGTAGAGACGGGGTTTCACCGTGTTAGCCAGGATGGTCTCGATCTCCTGACCTTGTGATCTGCCCGTCTCGGCCTCCCAAAGTGCTGGGATTACAGGATTGAGCCACCACGCCCGGCCTGTGCCTCTTTGTATATTATCCTTGTATTCTTGAATACTTTTACTTTCTCTTCTTACCACCTATCATTTTTTTTAAAAGGTTAATTCAAATATCACCTCCCTCATGATTCCGAACCAGAATTGGCTGAGCCCTGCTTAGTGCTGCAACAAACTTTGTTTCTCCTAATTTCATATGAAATGTCTTATATCTGATTATTTGCATATTTTCTCCAATGCACAGTGGTAATCTCCTTAAAAATACTACTTCTTAATTTTTGTTTATATTCCTAGGTTCCTAACTTAGTACTTTGCACAAAATAGTTATTAAGACAATGTTTTGTAAGTCAATGAATAAGTAGCAATATGGAGAAAATCATTATTTTCAGATTCAGAACCCATTCTTCCCTCTCAGACCCGGTTTTTATCAGATTTACTATGATCATTCATGTAGTATGAGGAGTGAGAGCTCTACGTGAAGAGTTTATGTAACAATAAATGATAACTCAAAACTGTTTTCTAAAGGAGTTGGTTTCATCTAACTGCTTAATGTGTGCGTTGCTCAATAGAGTATAATGTTAGGGCAAACTAAATGATCCAAGACAAAATATGGAATTTGAGAAGCTCTATGAGTTGAGGGCTGGGTCTAGAGACAGAATTAGGGGGCTAAGCAGGCTGTAGCAAGAGAGGAACTTCAGTTATAGAACAGAGATCTAAGGAGACATTTAAGTTTGTTTCAATGACTTAACTGATTACAAGAGATAGAAAACGCATGACTGATTATAATGTTTTATCACTTCCTTTGTGCACAATGACATATTTTCCCCATATTATTTATAATGGAGAGCTAAATAAACACTATTTACTAAAAGTCAAAGTAGCAGGATACTAGGACTTCAGCAATGGCTGATGAGCTAATGAAAGACACTGTATTACACATATCAAACTCTCCTGAAAATTTGTCGTCGGCAAGCATTCTTTCCAATATAGTATTTAAAAATGTCAATGCTGAAGCTTTTTAATTTCATAACTAAAATTATATTTTATGCTTATTAAATGCTAACCATGTTTATCTGTATTCACATGGTATATATGGAATAGTCACTACTTCAGTATTATATGTTGAAAATATAATAAAAATTTGGAATCTTCATTTATACTTAGTTACTTACATTTATGTGTATGTATAAATGTAAATTATACCTAGTTTGGTTAAAAATCAAGTTGAAACATTTATGTTTTAGCCACCAAAATTAATAATTTTATGAAAGCATATGAAAGGTAATGGATTACATGCAAATAAATAGCATATAGAGAATGAGAACACAGAACCTAACATCTGGCTCTGTCACTTGGATGCTCTTTGACTATCTTCAAGTGATATGACCCATTACAATTAAGTTTACTTAAATATAAAATAGGCTTCTTAGTAGTAGCAAACTCCATGGCTTGTATGGGAATGGAATGATCAACTGTTTGAAAGTACACAATACTTGAATTTTCACTATATGTTGTCATTTTATTATGATGATTATGTCACATCATCATCTCTTCTTGTTAAAATAATAAGCAGTAGGGTCGGGCGCGGTGGCTCAGGCCTGTAATATCAGCACTTTGGGAGGCCGAGGTGGGTGGATCACCTGAGGTCAGCAGTTTGAGACCAGTGGGCCAACGTGGCAAAACCCCATCTCTACTAAAAATACAAAATTAGCCAGGCATGGTGGCAGACGCCTGTAATCCCAGCTACTAGGGAGGCTTGAGGCAAGAGAATCACTTGAACCCAGGAGGCAGAGGTTGCAGTGAGCCAAGATCGCACCACTTCACTCCAGCCTGGGTGACAGCGCAAGACTTCATCTCAAAATAAACGAATGAATAAATAGATAAATAAATAAATAAAATAGCAGTAATCCTCAAAGATTTATTTATTAGGATATTACAAAATATACTTCCCACATGATTTCTTCTTCTTTTCTTTTTTTTTTTTTTTTGGTTTTTTTGAGACAGGATCTCACTCTGCCACCCCGGCTGGAAGGCAGTGGCCTTGGATCACTGCAGCCTCAACTGCACTGGTTCAGGTAATCCTTCCACTTCAGCCTCTTGGGTAGCTGGAACTACAGGCATGCATCACCATGCCTGGCTAATTTGTTGTATTTTTTGTAGAGAGAGTTTCACCATGTTGGTCTCAAACTCCTGGGCTCAAGCTATCTGCCTGCCTCAGCCTCTCAAACTTCTCATATTAACTGATATAAAACATTGTTCCATCATATTGAACTTGCAAACTAGACTTGTTTACTTAATGCAACATATTATTCACTAGATTAAGGGTTTTTGATATATTAACGCCATTATGTATAGACGAATGCTATTTCATGAAACCAACCTTCATTTGATCTAAAATACAATTTATTATTTCTAACTTAGTGCAACACATAATTATAAAGCATTTTCTATGTCTTGTTTTATGAGTTACTTTTTTAAAAATATTTTTATTTATTTATTTACTTTTTAGAGAAGGCGTCTCACTCTGTTGCCAAGGCTGGAGTGCAGTGGTGCTATCATAGCTCACTGCAGCCTTGAATTCCTGGACTCTAGTGATCCTCCTGCCTCAGTCTCTTGAATAGCTAGGACTACAGGCATGTGCCACCATGCGCAGCTATGAGTTGCCTCTTGACAGTATTTATTGGCAATTACTTTGGAGTAGAATATAATTTTTTATCCTCTTTTTTCCAGAGTAATTCAGAAGGATATGTACATAAAGAATATAGCAAATGTTCCTTTCATATCCTTGCATTTACTTTCACTATTTTCACTTAATTGTATATTTCATTACAATCCAGTTAGTCTCACAATGCACTATCCTTCATTACAGATTTGCCAAAAACACTGGTGTAACCCCTTTAATGAACATAGAAATCCACCCTAGTGCTACAGAGGGTAATTGCTACTTGTGCATCACTATCCAAAGGCAGGACTTTATCTAATTTATCTCATTTAACTTTCCTCATTAATTTTCTCTCATTTATCTTTCTTATACCTCCTATCTTAATCCTATTTTCTTTTTTTATTCTTTTCTACATTTTTTTTCTCATTTTAGTAGCTGGCACTTATCTATATCAAATATCCTGTAATTGGATTTTGCCTAGTTGCCTAAACATTGATGGAGATTTTGTACTGCCTTGTAATTCGGCCTATGATTTTTGTCAATAAACCCTGCTCTTAAAATTACTCAGCATAGTTATTTAAGAGTATAAAGATCAGTACAAACTTCTTCCCTGTTGCTACAACTAGTTGATGTGATATAATTGACAATGATGCAGTTTGAGTATAATTGGAAAAGATGTTCTGCCCTGGAGAGATGACCTAATATAATAAAGTATCACAATTGCTAGATACCACCTAACTTGTAGTTTTCTGCTATAAAACTAATTTTGTTTTAGCCTCATTTTTTCTTGTGAAGAAAATCTTATATTTTATGTTTCAGACAGAAACTTTGAGATATTGTCTGTGATGAGAGAAAAATTCTATTGTATGATAAAATTCACTTTTAAGAATTGATTTCTGAAGCACCAGGTGAACCATCTGAGAGATTAACTTAACTTGAGAATCCAGGGAAATGGTTAAAACTATCAGCTGAAAAAAGTAATTGAATCATCATGGCTTCCCTGTGGTATTTGTGGCTCCAATGATGAAATCAAATTAGCTATATAAGATAAAAATTAGTTAAGGCTGTTAATCATGAAAGGCCAAAATATTGGTCAGGCTCAGAGACATGGCCCTATTATATGTCATGGGTTATACAATAATTAGAAAGGTAGACCAAGGTAGTATAAGACTAAGAACTTAATTAGAAAAGGAGGTGAGTCATGAATGAGTTCACTTTTATTAAATACCAGCTGGATGCAAGTGACTGCAACAGAAGCTACAGGGAAATATTACAGAATATAACTGAGTAACTCTCCTAATATTATCTATATGTATTAATGATTGACAATTAATGCAATCTATAGGAATGTTTTTAGGTGTGATTGTTTCTACTAGGATGCAAAACTAGTATCAGCTCACCAATATCACAGATATCATGCTGCTAATTTTAATGTAATAATGAGGCAGCCAAGTAAAAAGGGGTCCCTGGAGAATACCCAACCGGCCTGTGCACTGGGAGAATGGGGTGGAGCCTCGGGAAGTTCCCGCCTTTGTAGGGGGGAGCAGGCTGGCTCTCCTCTTCCTGTGTGGTAACCTGGGATTCAATCTGTGAGGGGGTAAACCAGCTAACAGGACTCTCTTGCTTTGCTGAGGGTTCCTGTTTCCCTTTTTTCCTTTGCACCCAATAAACCCTGCCCTACTCACCCTACAATATGTCCACGTGTCTAAATTATCCTGGTCCTCTGATAAGAACCCGGTTTTTTCCTACAACAATAATATAATCAGTTCTAATAAACTACGTTAGAATCACTCCTAAGGAACATTGTACTAACAAATCTTGTCTTAAAAACAACTGCTAGCAATCAGCGAGACTCCCTGGGCATAGGACCCTCCGAGCCAGGTGTGGGATATAATCTCCTGGTGCACCGTTTTTTAAGCCCGTCGGAAAAGCACAGTATTGGGGTGGGAGTGACCCGATTTTCCAGGTGTTGTCTGTCACCCCTTTCTTTGACTAGGAAAGGGAACTCCCTGACCCCTTGAGCTTCCCCAGTGAGGCAATGCCTCGCCCTGCTTCGGCTCATGCAAGGTGCACTGCACCCACTGACCTGTGCCCACTGTCTGGCACTCCCTAGTGAGATGAACCCAGTACCTCAGATGGAAATGCAGAAATCACCCATCTTCTGCGTCGCTCATGCTGGGAGCTGTAGACCGGAGCTGTTCCTATTTGGCCATCTTGGCTCAGTCTCGCTGATTGCTAGCACAGCAGTCTGAGATCAAACTGCAAGGCAGCAGCGAGGCTGGGGGAGGGGCACCCGCCATTGCCCAGGCTTGATTAGGTAAACAAAGCAGCCAGGAAGCTCAAACTGGGTGCAGCCCACCACAGCTCAAGGAGGCCTGCCTGCCTCTGTAGGCTCCACCTCTGGGGGCAGGACACAGACAAACAAAAAGACAGCAGTAACCTCTGCAGACTTAAATGTCCCTGTCTGACAGCTTTGAGGAGAGCAGTGGTTCTCCCAGCACGCAGCTGGAGATCTGAGAACGGGCAGACTGCCTCCTCAAGTGGGCCCCTGACCCCTGACCCCCGAGCAGCCTGAGAGGCACCCCCCAGTGGGGGCAGACTGACACCTCACACAGCCGGGTACAACTCTGAGACAAAACTTCCAGAGGAACAAGCAGACAGCAGCATTCGCGGATCACGAAAATCCACGGTTCTGCAGACAATGCTGCTGCTAACTATGCAAACAGGGTCTGGAGTGGACCTCTAGCAAACTCCAACAGACCTGCAGCTGAGGGTCCTGTCTGTTAGAAGGAAAACTAACAAACAGAAAGGACATCCACACCAAAAACCCATCTGTACATCACCATCATCAAAGACCAAAAGTAGATAAAACCACAAAGATGGTGAAAAAACAGAGCAGAAAAACTGGAAACTCTAAAAAGCAGAGCGCCTCTCCTCCTCCAAAGGAACGCAGTTCCTCACCAGCAACGGAACAAAGCTGGACGGAGAATGACTTTGACGAGTGCAGAGAAGAAGGCTTCAGATGATCAAACTGCTCCGAGCTACAGGAGGAAATTCAAACCAAAGGCAAAGAAGCTGAAAACTTGGAAAAAAATTTAGATGAATGTATAACTAGAATAACCAATACAGAGAAGTGCTTAAAGGAGCTGATGGAGCTGAAAGCCAAGGCTCGAGAACTACGTGAAGAATGCAGAAGCCTCAGGAGCTGATGCGATCAACTGGAAGAAAGGGTATCAGTGACGGAAGATGAAATGAATGAAATGAAGTGAGAAGGGAAGTTTAGAGAAAAAAGAATAAAAGGAAACGAACAAAGCCTCCAAGAAATATGGGACTATGTGAAAAGACCAAATCTGTGTCTGATTGGTGTACCTGAAACTGACGGGGAGAATGGAACCAAGTTGGAAAACACTCTGCAGGATATTATCCAGGAGAACTTCCCCAATCTAGCAAGGCAGGCCAACATTCAGATTCAGGAAATACAGAGAACGCCACAAAGATACTCCTCGAGAAGAGCAACTCCAAGACACATAATTGTCAGATTCACCAAAGTTGAAATGAAGGAAAAAATGTTAAAGGCAGCCAGAGAGAAAGGTCGGGTTACCCACAAAGGGAAGCCCATCAGACTAACAGCTGATCTCTCAGCAGAAACTCTACAAGCCAGAAGAGAGTGGGGGCCAATATTCAACATTCTTAAAGAAAAGAATTTTCAAGCCAGAATTTCATATCCAGCCAAACTAAGCTTCATAAGTGAAGGAGAAATAAAATACTTTACAGACAAGCAAATGCTGAGAGATTTTGTCACCACCAGGCCTGCCCTAAAAGAGCTCCTGAAGGAAGCACTAAACATGGAAAGGCACAACCGGTACCAGCTGCTGCAAAATCATGCCAAAATGTAAAGACCATTGAGACTAGGAAGAAACTGCATCAACTAATGTGCAAAATCACCAGCTAACATCATAATGACAGGATCAAATTCACACATAACAATATTAACTTTAAATGTAAATGGACTAAATGCTCCAATTAAAAGGCACAGACTGGCAAATAGGATAAAGAGTCAAGACCCATCATTGTGCTGTATTCAGGAAACCCATCTCACATGCAGAGACACACATAGGCTCAAAATAAAAGGATGGAGGAAGATCTACCAAGCAAATGGAAAACAAAAAAAGGCAGGGGTTGCAATCCTAGTCTCTGATAAAACAGACTTTAAACCAACAAAGATCAAAAGAGACAAAGAAGGCCATTACATAATGGTAAAGGGATCAATTCAACAAGAAGAGCTAATTGTCCTAAATATATATGCACCCAATACAGGAGCACCCAGATTCATAAAGCAAGTCCTGAGTGACCTACAAAGAGACTTAGACTCCCACACAATAACAATGGGAGACTTTAACACCCCACTGTCAACATTAGACAGATCAATGAGACGGAAAGTTGACAGGGATACCCAGGAATTGAACTCAGCTCTGCACCAAGCGGACCTAATAGACATCTACAGAACTCTCCACCCTAAATCAACAGAATATACATTTTTTTCAGCACCACACCACACCTATTCCAAAATTGACCACATAGTTGCAAGTAAAGCTCTCCTCAGCAAATGTAAAAGAACAGAAATTATAAAAAACTGTCTCTCAAACCACAGTGCAATCAAACTAGAACTCAGGATTAAGAAACTCACTCAAAACTGCTCAACTACATGGAAACTGAACAACCTGCTCCTGAATGACTACTGGGTACATAACGAAATGAAGGCAGAAATAAAGATGCTCTTTGAAACCAACGAGAACAAAGACACAACATACCACAATCTCTAGGACACATTCAAAGCAGTGTGTAGAGGGAAATTTATAGCCCTAAATGCCCAGAAGAGAAAGCAGGAAAGATCCAAAATTGACACACTAACATCACAATTAAAAGAACTAGAAAAGCAAGAGCAAACACATTCAAAAGCTAGCAGAAGGCAGAAATAACTAAAATCAGAACACAACTGAAGGAAATAGAGACATAAAAAACCCTTCAAAAAATTAATGAATCCAGGAGCTGGTTTTTTGAAAGGATCAACAAAATTGATAGACCGCTAGCAAGACTAATAAAGAAGAAAAGAGAGAAGAATCAAATAGACGCAATAAAAAATGATAAAGGGGATATCATCACCGATCCCACAGAAATACAAACTACCATCAGAGAATACTACAAACACCTCTACGCAAATAAACTAGAAAATCTAGAAGAAATGGATAAATTCCTCGACACATACACTCTCCCAAGACTAAACCAGGAAGAAGTTGAATCTCTGAATAGACCAATAACAGGATCTGAAATTGTGGCAATAATCAATAGCTTACCAACCAAAAAGAGTCCAGGACCAGATGGATTCACAGCCAAATTCTACCAGAGGTATAAGGAGGAACTCGTACTAATTCCTTCTGAAACAATTCCAAACAACAGAAAAAGAGGGAATCCTCCCTAACTCATTTTATGAGGCCAGCATCATCCTGATACCAAAGACTGGCAGAGACACAACCAAAAAAGAGAATTTTAGACCAATATCCTTGATGAACATTGATGCAAAAATCATCAATAAAATACTGGCAAACTGAATCCAGTAGCCCATCAAAAAGCTTGTCCACCAAGATCAAGTGGACTTCATCCCTGGGATGCAAGGCTGGTTCAATACACGCAAATCAATAAATGTAAACTAGCATATAAACAGAACCAAAGACAAAACCCACATGATTATCTCAATAGATGCAGAAAAGGCCTTTGACAAAATTCAACAACCCTTCATGCTAAAAACTCTCAATAAATTAGGTATTGATGGGACGTATCTCAAAATAATAAGGGCTATCTATGACAAAACCACAGCCAATATCATACTGAATGGGCAAAAACTGGAAGCGTTCCCTTTGAAAACTGGCACAAGACAGGGATGTCCTCTCTCACCACTCCTATTCAACATAGTGTTGGAAGTTCTGGCCAGGGCAATCAGGCAGTAGAAGGAAATAAAGGGTATTCAGTTAGGAAAAGAGGAAGTCAAATTGTCCCTGTTTGCAGATGACATCATTGTATATCTAGAAAACCCCATTGTCTCAGCCCAAAATCTCCTTAAGCTCATAAGCAACTTCAGCAAAGTCTCAGGATACAAAATAAATGTGCAAAAATCACAAGCATTCTTATACACCAATAACAGACAAACAGAGAGCCAAATCATGAGTGAACTCCCATTCACAATTGCTTCAAAGAGAATAAAATACTTAGGAATCCAACTTACAAGGGACGTGAAGGACCTCTTCAAGGAGAACTAAAAACCACTGCTCAATGAAATAAAAGAGGATACAAACAAATGGAAGAACATTCCATGCTCATGGGTAGGAAGAATCAATATCGTGAAAATGGCCATACTGCCCAAGGTAATTTATAGATTCAATGCCATCCCCATCAAGCTACCAATGACTTTCTTCACAGAATTGGAAAAAACTACTTTAAAATTCATATGGAACCAAAAAAGAGCCCGCATCACCAAGTGAATCCTAAGCCAAAAGAACAAAGCTGGAGGCATCACGCTACCTGACTTCAAACTATACTACAAGGCTACAGTAACCAAAACAGCATGGTACTGGTACCAAAACAGAGATATAGATCAATGTGACAGAACAGAGCCCTCAGAAATAATGCTGCATATCTACAACTATCTGATCTTTGACAAACCTGAGAAAAACAAGCAATGGGGAAAGGATTCCCTATTTAATAAATGGTGCTGGGAAAACTGGCTAGCCATATGGAGAAAGCTGAAACTGGATGCCTTCCTTATACCTTATACAAAAATTAATTTAAGATGGATTAAAGACTTAAACCTTAGACCTAAAACCATAAAAACTTTAGAAGAAAACCTAGGCAATACCATTCAGGACATAGGCATGTGCAACGACTTCATGTCTAAAACACCAAAAGCAATGGCAACAAAAGCCAAAATTGACAAATGGGATCTAATTAAACTAAAGAGCTTCTGCACAGCAAAAGAAACTACCATCAGAGTGAACAGGCAACCTACAAAATGGGAGAAAATTTTTGCAAACTACTCTTCTGACAAAGGGCTAATATCCAGAATCTACAATGAACTCAAACAAATTTACAAGAAAAAAACAAACAACCCCATCAAAAAGTGGGCGAAGGATATCAACAGACACTTCTCAAAAGAAGACATTTATGCAGCCAAAAGACACATGAAAACATGCTCATCATCACTGACCATCAGAGAAATACAAATCAAAACCACAATGAGATACCATCTCACACCAGTTAGAATGGCAATCATTAAAAAGTCAGGAAACAACAGGTGCTGGAGAGGATGTGGAGAAATAGGAACACTTTTACACAGTTGGTGGGACTGTAAACTAGTTCAACCATTGTGGAAGTCAGTGTGGCGATTCCTCTGGGATCTAGAACTAGAAATACCATTTGACCCAGCCATCCCATTACTGGGTATATACCCAAAGGACTATAAATCATGCTGCTATAAAGACACATGCACACGTATGTTTATTTCGGCACTATTCACAATAGCAAAGACTTGGAACCAACCCAAATGTCCAACAATGATAGATTGGATTAAGAAAATGTGGCACATATACACCATGAATACTATGCAGCCATAAAAAATGATGAGTTCATGTCCTTTGTAGGGACATGGATGAAGCTGGAAACCATCATTCTCAGTAAACTATCACAAGGACAAAAAACCAAAGACCGCATGTTCTCACTCATAGATGGGAATTGAACAATGAGAACACATGAACACAGGAAGGGGAACATCACACTCTGGGGACTGTTGTGGGGTGGGGGGAGGGGGAAGGGATAGCATTAGGAGATATAGCTAATGCTAAATGATGAGTTAATGGGTGCAGCACACCAACATGGCACATGTATACATATGTAACTAACTGGCACATTGTGCACATGTACCCTAAAACTTAAAGTATAATAATAATAATAATAATAATAATAATAATAAAACATCTTCTGGGCAGGTGTGGTGGCTCATCCTTGTAATCCCAGTACTTTTGGAGGCTGAAGTGGGCAAATCCTTAGCCCAGGAGTTCAAGACCAGCCTAGAATAGGATGAAACCCCGTCCCTACAAAAAATACAAAAAATGTGCTGGGCATGGTGGCATGTTCCTGTAATCCCAGCTACTCAGGAGGCTGAGGTGGGAAGATCTCTTGAACCCTGGAGTTGGAGGTTGCAGTGAGCCAAGATCATCCCACTGTGCTTCAGCCTGGGTGACAGAGCAAGACCCTGTATTGAAAATAAAAGAAAAAACAACAAAAAAAGACTTGTTTAAGCAAGAAAAAGGTTTAGAATTTTTAACAATGAGGTGTTTTAATATTAATAATAAAGGTGTTTTGTTTTTTTTTTTTTTGAGATGGAGTCTCACTCTGTCACCCAGACTGGAGTGCAGTGGGGCAATCTCGGCTCACTGCAAGCTCTGCCTCCCAGGTTCACTCCATTCTCCTGCCTCAGCCTCCTGAGTAGCTGGGACTACAGGTGCCCACCACCACGCCTGGCTAATTTTTTTGTATTTTTTTTTTTTAGTAGACACGGGGTTTCACCATGTCAGCCAAGATGGTCTCGATCTTCTGACCTCGTGATCCGCCTGCCTTGGCCTCCCAAAGTGCTGGGATTACAGGCGTGAGCCACCGTGCCTGGCCAAGGTGTTTTAATAGATATAAATGTATACTCATAAAACAAACATCCCTGGTCAAAATAGTAGGACAATATTTACCGTTTGTACAAAGTTAATTATATTTTCAGCTTAGTTTTCTCATCTCCAATAGCAGTAGCATTTAATGTTTAGGCATTCTCACCATGGTCTTATTCTTTTCCTATTGTTATGATAAATGAAGAGCAAAAGTGGCCCAAATAAAGCAACTTATTTCCTTTAGGACCAATGGCAGTCTACATTACGATGTAAATCTTGTGTTCTAATTCACAAATCCTGTTACATCTAAATCAACCTATATAAACCTGTCCCTTAAGAAAAACACCTACATAAAAACACACTATTATTATAACTTCTAGTTTGTCAGGGATAAAAGTTCTGATAAGGTTATCAGCCAGAGTGTGACAGAAATCCAATTCTAATCATAGATTATGCTGCAGATCATAGAGGAAGTCAGATTTCTACCTTCTCATTTTTTATCAGTGCTGCTGTCATATGATCAAGCTTTCTTGTGATTTTATATTTGCATAGATGTTTTAATGATTAAGTTTAATTCATTTTAAAATAAGATTTGTTTTCCCCCTTTATAGAAATTTCTTATTCTAGAAAATATTTAAAATTTTGAGCATCAAAAAGGGAAATTGAGAAAATGCCATATTTAATGTAATCATCTGTATCATTTTAGTGTACAGGTTTCCATTCTTTTTCCTATGAATATATGGTTTAATATGTGTTTAAATGAAATGGGAATCTTGCTCTATATTCTGTTACCTGATTTTTTTCAGTTGATTAAAAAGTCTCACTAAGTATTCTATAACATATGTGTCAGTTCAATCATTTACTGTGAGTTATTCAACTACTATTATTTATTTCAATATTACTTAGCTTTTTGTCATTTTCTTGCTTATATTATGATCAATTCCCAGAAATTTCCATTTTGCAAAAAACGGTTTAGTTTAGTAAGACATATAAACTCTTTTGGAAATCATGCCTGAAAATATTTTGCTTAAACACTATTCTTAAGACAGACTATCAATGTTAGAACATCCAACAGGCATTATTTTAATGAACATATAAACATGACTTTTAAGTTTTATGAAGCTCCAAATAAAAACAGTATACCAAAGGTATTCAATTTTCTTGAAGTAAAAAGTGAAAAATAATTCCCTTTGATTGAAAAAATAATACTCATTCAGCATGAAAACACCTGTATATGATTAATTGCTTGCCTTTACTGGTGCAAAACATTTCATGCCAAGATATTTACATTCCTATAGTCCTAAGGCTGGGAGCATGCCACTGAAGCGTCTTTAAACACCTACAATTATAAATTAAGTTATATAGAAACATTACCCTGCATGTATGTAAATAAATTAGAAACTTGAACGTTAACAAAACATAAAAACTGGTGAAAAATACCAAACTATACTTTTACATGCTTATCCTTAGCAAACTAACACAGGAACAGAACATCAAATACAGCATGTTCTCACCTCTAAGTGGGAGCTAAATGATGAAAACTTATGAATACAAAGAAGGAAACAGCAGGCACTGGGGTCTACTTGGTGGGGGAGAGGATGGGAGGAGGGAGAGGAGCAGAAAAAATAACTATTGGGTACTGGGCTTAATACCTAGGTGATGAAATAATATGTACAACAAACCCCCATGACACAAGTTTATCTATTAAGAAACCTTTACGTGCACCCATGAACCTAAAATGAAAGCTAAAAAAAGAAAAGGCCTAGGGATGAGTTTTTTTAAAAAATAATCATATAGTGATTTTTGTTCATGTATATTTGTCCTTATAACAAGGCTTTAAGATGTAGATGTGTAATTCATAGATCTCAAAATGATGAATAATAAGAAAATAATCTCCAGCAAACTGTTGAAAACAGCAACTTCTGTCTCATTGTCACATATTCATCACTACTTGTTTTTAGAAGTGGCATCAAAATATAAACTTAATTTTGGCCAGTCAGCAAATAATATGAGTCATATTTATTGATCTATTTGGTTTTGGAAGTCTCAGTTTTAGAATTCTAATAAAAGGGGCTTTCCCTATGTTGAAGTTTCTTGGATTAGCCCAATAACACTAAAAAATAAAATAAAATAAAATTGTCTCTGGTTCTGATTACCT
The DNA here is from genome assembly GCF_000001405.40 of Homo sapiens. Classification (NCBI taxonomy): domain Eukaryota; kingdom Metazoa; phylum Chordata; class Mammalia; order Primates; family Hominidae; genus Homo; species Homo sapiens. The sequence goes on along the minus strand of NC_000006.12, from coordinate 124,339,971 downwards.
AGGTATTGAAAGAACATAGTCAAGATGTATTATAATACAGTTTTTAAAAAATTAGGGTCATGTAAATTTGAAGATTTTCATATAATACGTCTGATACTCTCTTTATTCTATTGCTTTAAGGCCCTCTTCCTGGCCTCCCCCGACCTTCCACACGCACAATAGTAGGCTGGGAAATGGCTCTCTCGAAGATATTCACATGCTAATCCCTAGGACCTGTGAATGTTACTATTATAGCAAAAAATAAATAAATATCCAAAAAGTCTTTGCAGATGTAATTAAGTTAAAGATTTTGAGATGAAGAGATTATTTTGGATTATCTGCGTAGGTCCAATGTAACCACCTGTATCCTTATGAGAAGGAGGTAGATGCCTATTTCACACACAAAAAGAAATTGATGATGAGGATAGAGCAGAGAGGGGGTTGAAGATGTGGACTTAAAGACTGGACTAATGTGGCCACAAACCAGGTAATCCCACAGCTAACAGAACCTGGAAGAGGCAAGGATCGAATTTTCCCCCAGAGACTCTGAAGTCTCTCTGATTTCTGCTCATTGCTACAGATTTCAAACTTGTGGACTCCAGAAGAATAAATTTCTGCAGTTTTTGTTGTTGTTGTTGTTTGTTTGTTTGAGATGGAGTCTCATTCTGTTGCCAGGCTGGAGTGCAGTGGTGCGATCTCGGCTCACTGCAACTTCTGCCTCCTGGGTTCAAGCGATTCTCCTGCCTCAGCCTCCCGGGTGAGTAGCTGGGACTACAGGTGCGCGCCACCACGCCCGGCTACTTTTTGTATTTTTAGTACAGATAGGGTTTCACCATGTTGGCCAGTATGGTCTCAATCTCTTGATGTCGTGATCCGCCCGCCTTGGCCTCCCACAATGCTGGGATTACAGGCATGAGCCACTGCACCCAGCCCGTGAGCCACTGGGTCCGGCCAATTTCTGCAGTTTTAAACCACCAAGTTTGTAATGATCTGTGGTAATTTGTTACAGCAGCCATGGGAAACTAGTACACCCACCAAAATCTCTCCCCACCTAACCTCTCTGTCACTAAAATATAATGCTGAAGAGTGTAATATCTAAATACTTGTGGAGTAGTGTAATTAATTTCAAAATTGATTCACTCCTTTTAGGCAATTACATCACTACTTCAGAATCAGTCCATTGCTAATCTTTAAATGGCATGCAAATAGAAAATTTTTTTTTGGTTATTTGGCTGATGTAATTACTGTGAAGGTCTATGACAGGAAATGAGGTACTGTTGTTTCATAAGCATCTCTGCAAATTCTCAGTGTATTTCCAACATTCTAACAATATAAGACTTTTTTTGTTTGTTTTTAGAATAAAGTTCTAGGATGCAGAAATAAATAAATTTAGAGTTCTGAATATTTCCAAACTTGTGAAAAAATTGTCAAAATGAGTTAAGCGCCTAGAAAAATATACCTAATCAAATAACTTTTTATTGCAACAAACTTTGAAAGCAAAGAAGGAGAAAAGCAAGTGATAATCATCATCAGTATGACGGTGTAATACTTTTTAGTTAGAATAATGAATTACATGATATCATCAAAAATATTAAAATTCTAATAACCAAGTAGCAGCTCTACACTTATCACCTATCATTGCTCCCTTAAAAATTGGGAGAGAGTTTAAATTACTAATTGTTTAATATCTGTCATTTTAGTTTTCATACCAAATATTCTTCACTATGACTTTTTGACAAATTTTAACACTATAAATGAATACTGCTGTATTTGGCCCAGAAAAGTGAGTGGAGAGCATCACTTTTAGCTATGTTCTTAGATTTTTATGACCATTTTGACCACTTCGAAGGCATCTGTGATTCTTATTAACTGATGTATCCTGGGATAGCTAAAAGTGTTGAGTCCTTTCCCCTTGTGATAAGTAATTAATTTTAAACAGAAGCATTATTAACCATATATTTAATTATAGTTTTTCTACTGTGCTTCATGAAAAAATTCATAGCACTCATAGACAATGATACTATGCGTAAGGTACACCAATGTAAACAAAAAAGATAGCTTGCAGCAGCTGAAAGTGACTAACCCAAGGACTCTAGCCACCCCTTGTTCCTCATGAGGAGCTCAACATCCCAGCACATCTGTAAACTATTACCTGTGAGACTATTGGGAAGTGTTTTGCTCAGAAAAACATATATAGTACACAATTTCTTTTCAAAAAGATAGGCTTGCTAATGTATCAAAAATAGTCTGTCTGCTCAACCTGCTCAACAGGGTAACTAGAGTTCCCCAGGAGTCTGTATATTCTATAGTCACCTATAGGGAGCTTCTGAATATCATGTGGCTGATCCAATTAATTGCTCAGCAATTTTAGATAATGTGGACAAATCAAGGAGGCAGTGATCACTCGGTTTGCATTTCTCTTACAGAATTCTAAACTAGGTGCTTAAGTTTATTTATTGTTGTTTTTTTATTTGGTTTGGTTTTTTGAGACAGGGTCTCACTCCCTTACCCAGGCTGGAGTGCAGTGGAGCAATCTCGGCTCAATGCACCCTCCAACTCCTAGGCTAGAGTGGTCCTCTTACCTCAGCCTGTTGAGCAGCTGGGACTACAGGTGTGTACAGCCATGCCTGGCTAATTATTATTATTATTTTGTAGTTTCGTAGAGACAGGGTCTTGCCATCTTATCCAGGCTGGTCTCGCACTCCTAAGCTCAAGGGATCTGCCCATCTTGGCCTCCCAATGTGATGGGATTACAGGCGTGAGCCACCACACCCAGCGAGTATTTTTTTGTATTGCAAATGCTCATTTGGAGAGTGAAGTTTCAAATTTAAATAAATTTATTGATGGTACATCATAAATGATTAATATGAATTAAAGCTTTGCAGCTTTGTATTTTCCCCCATTTTAGAAGCACATATATTTTTAAGATCTAACAGCTCTCCAGTGACTATCAACAAAAGCAGGGTTCCAATCTATTAGTATCATAATTACTTTGGTAAGATTCATTAAAAAATGAAAAACAGGCCAGGTGCTGTGGCTCACTCCTGTAATCCCAGCACTTTGGGAGGCCGAGGCAGGTGGATCACAATGTCAGAAGATCGAGACCATCCTGGCCAACATGGTGAAACCCTGTCTCTATTAAAATACAAAAAATTAGCCGGGTGTGGGGTGCATGCCTGTAGTCCCAGCTACTTGGGAGGCTGAAGCAGGGGAATTGCTTGAACCCAGGAGGCAGAGGTTGCAGTAAGCCAAGATCTAGCCACTGCACTCCAGCCTAGTGACAGAGCAAGACTCCGTCTCAAAAAAAAAACAAACAAAAAAAAACAAACTATTTCAGTTAGAAGTACTTTTGGCTACACATAAGAAAATACTAAATTACACGTGGTTTAAATACTATGTTTAAAAAAATTTCTCATATATAAAGTCTGGAAATGGGCTACTGTTGACAAAATGGCTCAATGCTATCAGAGCTCTAGATCTATACTTCTGGGATTTTCTTTCAAATCCCCACAAAGTAACACATTAGACACATAGAAAGGCACTAGGCAGGAGAAAAAAGCTCCTTTCCTTGTATAACACTCTGTTCTTCCAGGAAGGAAAACTCTTCCTAGAGAGGCACACATGAGATTTCTTACATCTCATTAGCTGAAATTTGTAACAAGCCTACCCCAAATTAAACCACTGGCAAAAAAGTTTGGGATGATTATGGCTGCTTAATCAATTGTAATGCATCCCTTGGAACTGCACGATGATTTGACCTGCCTGAGAGCTTTGCTGTTCCTCTAAACTCCTGGAGCAAATTAGGATTCTGTTAACAGAAGAATAGAGGTATCTGCCACTACAACCTATATACAGCTTTTCTGTTTCATTTTGCTTTTCTGTTTCATTTTGCTTTTCTTTAATATGTAAAAGTGAATTATTGGTATTTTATATTTTTATGAGTCTCTTGTTTTCTAGAGAAACACCCAACCCTTTGCTTCAGTAAGATGATACAAATTCAACTAAATAGAGAATTAATTTAGCAATCATAGTTTTCCCTAAGTAAATATTAGATTTTAGATCTTAGTCTATGAGGAATGGCATGAAAAACAGAAAGATAAGACAAAGAAGCAAACAAAAAAATAGATAAAGTGTGTTCCAACCAATCAGCAAGTTTCAACTTAACCAGTAAAGAGGAAAAATACATGTAATATTAGATGTCTCATTGGAAATATCATACATCTGTGTTTTGAGAAAGACGAAAAAATATTGTAGAGAATGTTAAGAATATTAGAATAAGGAAATCAGGAACTTTTAAAGACCCAAAAATAGAAAGTTAATAATATTTTCAAAATTTATATAATTATCATTTACTAAGGTATGGTAGATGTGTGGTAGTTGTAAATTTTTTTGAATAAGCATAGTCTACTATTCTTCCCTTTTAGAGTTGGAAAAATAAGTGGTTTCCTCTCATCAGAGATGCTTTAATCTCATTTCAGCTGTCCTATCCCCCAGCCTTCATTTCAAATTCAAAGCAATTCTAAGAATCATGTAAACAGCTTCTAAAATATGTAAATTATCTTAATTGGGAAATATGAGACATCAATCAGTAGAACCTTAAAAAGATCTGTTCATTGTGTTTGGTTTAAAAGTATCCAAATACAGATACAGGTCAATCAATCTCTCTCTATATATAAAATCTTGTTTTAGGCAAACACATTAAGAAATCCTCATTCCTTTTGAGTCTTTTGTATGGTATTAGATTATAAGTGTAGGCTGAGTCATAACATTTTTCTAAACATTTTAAATTGCTACAATACAACTTCCCAATTTGCTTTTATATAAAAAAGATTTCTATCTAAATTTTTACTGGGTGCATATTTTTTTTCTGCCTACACAAGTGACAGGATAGGCATTTACCAATATTTCGTGTGATACCTGTCTTCTAAATACCTGTCTTGGTTGGATACCGTCAAGAGCAAAAGCTCACTCTTTCTATATCTAGTGAATTTTCAGTGAAACCACCTTTGCAAAAATCATAACAGTGAGAAAGTTATGACAGTGAAAAAGATCTGACCTAACTGACTCCATCTTGCTTCTAACTTCCAAGCTGTTCATTCCTGAGCGTGGGCTCAACTAACTTTGGGAGGAACTCATTTTACAGTTTAACTTTGAAATAAAGATGACAATAGCCCTTTTCCAAAACAAACCCCCTTCTTGCCTAGGGACCAGACTGCCTTTGTAAAATTAACAAATTAGCCACAAATTAGAAGTTCTGGCGAGGAGTCATGCAGCTAGATGCCGCAAGATCACTAATCTCCCAAATTGCTCTAATAGATAACATTAGTATTATAAAACCTAAGATTCATGTTTGAAGTATTTTTCAGACTCTGCACTGGTTGGATCAGCTGGTGCCACCCAGATCTATAAACTGGCTTATCTGGTCTTCTAGTGCCCCCCACCAGGAACCGACTGACTCAGTGCAAATGACAGCTACAGCCTGACCAATCAGTAGTCTGCACTCCCTGGCCCCCTACCCACCAAATTATCTTTCTTTAAGAAACCTTAGTCTCCAAATTTTCGAAGGGACTGATTTGAGTAATAACAAAACTCCAGTCTTGTGTTCAGCCAGCATTGCATGAATTAAACTCTCTATTCTCCTGTCCGGATAAATCGACTCTGTCTGGGGAGCAGGCAAGGAGAACCCTTTGGATGTTACCTATCACATGTATACATTATATTATACATTGAACATTACATTAGTATACTGGTATTTTGGGCTCAAGGGTTCTGGTACACTGAGAAGTGCAGAGAAATAAAATCTCCTGAAGAGAGAACCATGTGCTCAAATCTAAATATTGATTCAGTGTTACAGAGAAATACTTAAAATCATCGAGACTTTTAATTAATGAAATATCTGTATTTAAATGCATACCACATAAGACGGAAACATGGATAGCAGGAAAGCTTGCTCTCAGAAGAGCTAAAGTAAATTATCATGGAATATAAAAACTTTTTTTTAAAATGGTCAATTTAAAATAAAAAACTGTTAAAAGTACTTGCTTTAACAAAAAGCATAATTCAGTTTTAAGTTATGCATATTTTGGCTATGACTTTGTAATCTGAATATGGTCATAGTATCCAATAAAATATCCTTTTGATTTCATTTCTAGCTTTTAAGGACAAAAAGGATAAAGGTATAGGCTTACCTTCTGAATTAAAGCCTTAGTTCTTAAGTGCAAGCTTTGAACTACAAATAAAATACCAACAAAGTGTGTTCTTGAAAATCTGCTTGGCATTTTTCTTAAGTTTATTTTATTTATTTATGTATTTATTTATTTATTTATTTATTTAGAGACTGAGTCTCACTCTGTCACCTAGGCCGGAGTGCAGTGGTGTGATCTCAGCTCACTGCAACCTCCGCCTCCCAGGTTCAAGTGATTCTTCTGCCTCAGCCTCCTGAGTAGCTGGGATTACCAGCACCCACCACCACGCCCAGCTAATTTTTGTATTTTTAGTAGAGATTGGTTTTCATCATGTTGGCCAGGCTGGTCTCCAACTCCTGACCTCAGGTGATCCCCCCGCTTTGGCTTCCCAGTTTGTGATTACAGGCATGAGACACTGCACCCAGCCTAAGTTCATTTATTTTTTATTCCCTATTTTAAGTGTGGTAGGCAGAATGATGGCCCCTAGAACTGTGAGATAGTAAATGGTTGTTAATTTAAGCCTCTGGGTTTGTGGTACTTTGTTATTTAGCAACAGGAAATGAATATGTTAATATTGAGGTTTTTGATTAAAAAGAAAAGATTTATTAGTGTCAAGTAATTTGCCACGAGGGCCAAGTGCTATACATATATTCTATATTGAGTGGACTGGATTTAATAGAATCTTTCACACTGACTTTTGGTATATGCATTTTCTTTTGAATCCTGAGACATTTAAATATATTAATTTTTCTAGGCAGATTTCTAGAATTCAATTGTTAATAATATTTATTTAAATTAGTTATTTAATAGGAAGACATATATAGAAGTTTGGAGACCTGAGTTTAAGTCTTAACTCCATTGTGAACCTACCTGTATAATCTGAAATCTACTGATATTTCTAGTTCTATCTACTTTTGAAACTAACATTCCTGGATGAGTGCAAAGGGATTTTATTGTTATTTTTTTCTGGAGAAGTATACTTTTCTCATATAACAAGTCTTAGCTGCAGTGCCCATGGGCAAGTCCAACAGTGGTGATAGCAACAAACAGAATGTCTCATTCCTTATGTCAGCCACTTAGACAGTCAATCATTTTTATTGGAAATAATGATTGTAGAGTGACATCAAACAAAAGTATCAGCACTGGGATTACTTTTTGTATCATTATACAAGAATTCTTTAATAAAGGGTGTAGTTATAATTTCTTAACGAATATATCATGAGAAAAAAAAATAAGGCCCTCTAATGGCCATCAAGTAGACACATTATTTGCAAGACTTATGCTACTTGATCAAATGTGTTGATCAAATTCAGTAGATAGGGTGTCAGTAGATAGGGCCTTAGAGGATATGTTAAAATAATGCCAAAAATGTACAAATTTAAATAAACATTTAGTACTAAAATACTCTTTGAATTAGAGTGTCGTGTGTAGTAATCATTCCAAAAGATGAAAGAAGGCCAAGTAAGAGTGCTCTGCAAGCACCAACAATGGATAGTTATGTTTCACTATCCATGAAGAATATATACACTCTCTCTCTTTCTCTTTCTCTCTCTCTCTCTCTGTGTGTGTGTGTGTGTGTATATACACACACACACATATATATGCATGAACTTGAGAAAAATGCCAAGTGGATTTTCAAGAACATACTTCGTTGACAGGTATTTTATTTGCAGTTCAAAGTTTGCACTTAAAAACTAAGGCCTTGATTCAGAAGGTAAGCCTATATCCTTATCCATTTTGTCTTTAAAACTATATATATTAGCTTCTTCCAATCTTTAGATTGTTTAGTTTTTTAAATCACCCTAGGGCCAAATTTACTAATTCACAGCTTAAACATATGATTCAATGCTGAAAAGTTTAAAAACTATCTTCCTCTGAAAAATGTTTTCTCCTACTCAAGGGTAAAATTGAGTTTTGTCTAAATCAGCATAAAAATCAAGTTTTATCATTTGGCTCCAGAAATAACCATTGTATCTTTATCAAATTCATAATTCTATGCACAGGTATTTAGAATACTCTACTAATGAGGTCATGGTTTTGGATTGAATTTCTATGTATGAGGCTTCTTAGTGTTTTTCCTGCTCTTTGTCTATAGAACGTAAGTCTCAGCAGAGACACATCTTGCAAATGCAGGGCCACAAGGTGTTACAAGGTAAGCAAATGTGAGGAATGATGAAAATTCAGCCAAACAACTTGTAAAATCCTGAGCCCTATTTATTATTGGTACTTTAATAGTGTCATCTTCACAGGGAAATGATTTTTTTTTTTTTTTTTTTTTTGAGACGGAGTCTCGCTCTGTCACCCAGGCTGGAGTGCAGTGGCATGATCTTGGCTCACTGCAAGGTCTGCCTCGCAGGTTCACGCCATTCTCCTGCCTCGGCCTCCCGTGTAGTTGGGACTACAGGCATCCGCCACCACGCCCAGCTAGTTTTTTTTTTTTTTTTTTTTTTTTTTTTTTTTTTGTATATTTAGTAGAGACAGGGTTTCACCGTGTTAGCCAGGATGGTCTCGATCTCCTGACCTCGTGATACGCCTGCCTCATCCTCCCAAAGTGCTGGGATTATAGGCGTGAGCCACTGTGCCCGGCCGATTTTTGTTTTACAGTAGATCCTAACTCTAAATTGAAAAAAAGTATCATCAGTTTATTTCAGTACAAACTTATCTTTCCTATAAAACTTTGGGGTGCCAAATATGTACTTGAAAGAAGCATAATTCAATTAACGCATTCTAGAACTCAGATTGTAGTAGATGCTGTAGGGCAGCGGTCCCAACCTTTTTGGCACCAGGGACCAATTTCGTGGAAGATAATTTTTCCATGGACAGATGGGTGTGGGGATGGTTTCGGGATGAAACTGTTCCGCCTCAGATCATCAGCCATTACTTAGATTCTCATAAGGAGCACGCAACCTAGATCTCTTGCATGCACAATTCACAATAGGGTTGGCGCTCCTGTGAGAATCTAATGCTACTGCTGATCTGACAGGAGGCAGAGCTCAGGAACTCAGGCAGTAATGTTCTCTTGCCTGCCGTTCACCTGTTGCTGTGTGGCCCAATTTCTAACAAGCCACAGACCAGTACCAGTCCATAGCCCCGGGGTTGGGGACCTCTACTGTAAGGGAACATCCCATGTGTTCCTTTAGGACTGAGATGCTAATTATTCCTCCAGCTGCTGGAAATATTATTTGTTGACAGCTCACAGTCAAGTTCTTGCTCAGGAATTACCCTTAGCCAAAGTAAGGTGTCTCATGGTTATGCACTCCTTCAGGTGCAGCCTTCATGTCATGACTGGTTGATGTGGAGGTACAAGGCTACCAGGTCCTTGTCTCAATTCTGGACATTCATGAAAGACTAGCCCAGCTTCAGTGCTCTACATGGGATCAGCTTCTATTGCTACTGAATTGCAGCAAATCTTTTCCTTCTGACCAGTCATGCTTCTCTCATTCCATTACAATTGTTCCTGGAAACACACTCTAATAAATTGCTTGTATGCAAATCTCCATCTCAGAGTCTATTACCGAGGTACTGAACAAACAACCATTAAAATCAGAAGTTGTCCAGGAAAAGAGACACTAGATCACTTCATGATAGCTGGCAATGAGGACCTCACCACTTGAAATAGATGGTGTGATAATAGTTCTTGGCATTCAGTAACACTGAAACTCTTAATATGCACACTGATGGTGAATTGGGATGGCACATTTAGCCACAGCTGAATAACTAATCTGCCAGCAACAGAGCAATGCTCAATCCCCAAAATGGTGCTACTTCTTGATAAGACCAACAGCCAGTCAGTAACAGATGATTACATTGGATCCCTTGCATCCTTGAAGTCGGAAAGATTCATCTGGGCAAAATTGGAAATATTCTGAGTATGGATTACCTTTTCTGCTTATAAGCTTTAGAAGAACCAGTCACTGAGGCCATATAGAATGTTTGTTCCAACAACATACGATCTTAGAAAATACTGTATTGCTACTAGAGACATACTTTATAGTAAAGAAAGGAGGGAAGTCAGCAGATACCCATTGGTCACATAGCACCTAGATGCTGCCAGTCTGACAGACCAATCTGGCTTTTGAAGATGCAGATGAGGTGCTAACTTGGAGATGATACTGTGCAAGTGTAGGTGTCTTCTCTGTGATGCAGTAATTGTCTTATATGAATGATGGTTACATGGTGCTATGTCTCCAATAGGTAGAATGTGTGGATCCAGGGGTGGAGCAGTGGACCCAGGAGTAGTTCTGCTCATCACTCCCAGCGACAATCTTGGGGGAATTTGTGTTTCTCATTTCCACAAATTAGGCTCTGTGGATCTGGGGGTCCTACATTGCTGAGAAAAGTGCTTCCATTAGGGAATAAAGCCAGAATTCCATTACATTTAAACCATAGCTGCCACCCAGTTACTTTAAATTCTTTGATCTAAGAGATCAGGAACAAAGAAAAGAAGTCACTCTCCTGGCAGAAGTAATAGATCCTGATCATCATTGGGTCCAGAAAAGAATATGTTTGGCACCCAGATGAGATAATGAGGCATCGCTTGCTAATTCTTTACCAAGTTTTGATGGCAGTGCATCAGAGCAGTTGCCACAACTTGACAGGCATGCTGAACAGTGGCATAGACCCCTTGGGATTGAGGGTCTGGATCATCCCACTAGGTAAGCTGGCCAGACTGGTAGAGGTGCTAGATGAGTGTTTGGAGAATAAAGATTGGAAGGATAGTAGAGGACAGAGACAATATGTGTCAGTTTTCTCACAACCATCTGCAGCAGTGGGGCTGTGGTTTTACTCTCTAATCTTGTATATTCACCTTGGAAAAGAAACCAACCACTAATGTGGAGGGGTTGTTTCCAGAAGGGATGACATTATTATCTGAAGCAAGTGGGTCCACGGAGTGTAAATTATGGACAAAAGAGAATCCTGTGGTGTGCCAGTCACATCTCCCCTTTAGGATTAAGCTCTTATTCTTCCAGTATGGCTTATTTTTAAATACCTGGCCAAAGGAAGTTTCTTCATTCAATGGCATGTCCCCTTCCTTTAGGTAGCCTACATCCAATGACAGCTCCACGGGGAGTACAAACGCCTGCTTACCATTCCTGTAATTTTGGATGTATATGCTCAGTTTTGGGCATATATGAAAGGCCCCCATGGCTTTAGAGAGCCCTATAACACCAAATAGTGCTTGTGTTGCAACTGCTTTGCTTTTACAATATTTTGTCTGCTCAATCCTGATTTTGTTCTTGAGAGCACAGCTCAGTAAGCTTGCTGCATGTAAATCTCCATCTCAGAGTCTGTATCCCAGGGTAGCTGATACATGTGTGGAAATCACTACAGATTATAGCAAAGAGAAAGACCCCTGAATTTCTCCAACACAAAATGAGATTCCACAGAACACTTTGATGAATCACCATAAGCATAAACTGTAGTAGTAGAATAAGAAATAAGCAAGAACAGGGCTAAATTATATGTGAAAATTTATAAGCCAGGATCAATATAGAAAATACTCTATTTGTAAAATAAACAAATACATCACAGATATTTAAACATCACACAGGTTTTAAAGGTTTATATTCCAAATGTCCAGTAATATATTAATAATATCTGTACGATGATCTCTATAAAGCTGGTACCTGCAGTATAGTACATCCAGGCTGTTACTAAATAATATATCCATGCTTTCACTTCTGGCTTCTGCAGCTGGATCTTTCTTTCCATTTAGATTGTTTTGTTCCTTTCCTGTTCTTTAATTCCCTGTGTACACTTACAACTATAAAGTTTCCACCACTGTAAAGGAAGCGATGATAATCCAATGTTTTACAAAGTACTTATTCTGAATGTTTATCTAAATACTTGAAATTTGAATGTGACTAGCCTCTTTATTTTTAAAGAGAATATGGAAAACCATGATTCATTCAAGAAATTACTACATATCTACTCTTAATTCCGATCATATTTTCTTCTTAATGTAATGTGGCCCAGAGTAATATGCTTATTTGTGAGTGCATCCACATACATATTCTAATTGCTATTTCCCAAGGTCTTTAATTTATTTCAACCACTTTATACCTCTATAAGTATAACACAAAATAATTTTATTGACATTTAAAAAAATAATGGCTATCATTTATTACTAGTTCAATGTGTACTAAATGCTGCTTACATAATTTTATGATTGCCTCTTTCAATTCTCTAACAACTCTGTTTAGTAGATACTATTATTATCCCCATTATAAAATTGAGTAAATAGACACAAGACTAAAATGTTTGCTATCACCTCTTCTCTTCACTATTCTATTAGATGCCTTAGGTAGCAAAAGAAAATATGAAAAGCAAATTAAAAAGTTGGGAAGAAAGAAATTATACTTTTATTATTTATAGATTATATGATTATTTACATGAGAATTGGCAGACAAATGATTAGAGCTAATTAAGAGTTCAACAATGAAAGATGATACATATATCAAATCAGTTTTGTTCCTATACACAAAGAAAAAATAGAAGATATAATTTTAAAAGCTATGGCTCCTACTACTTCTGGCTCACACTTGAGATGTAGCTATGTAGTTTTTAATCCCTCCAAAATTCCTTTAGAAACTACACATGTCAACTATGGCAAGAAAAGAAAAATATGTTTCCAGAAAAATTTGTTGACTAGGAATGTTCTATAAAAAACTCAGAATATGGGTGGGTGTGGCCAAACCACTAATACAGCCAAGCAATGAAAGTGACAGAAAATGAAAAAAAAAAATAGTCTGAGGAACCTCATGAGCAACAGAACTGCTCAATTGTAAATAAAACTCACTCCTATTGGCAAGAATCTCACATTGATCAGAACGCTGGATCTCAGTTTCTTGGAAAGGTCAAAAACATAGGAAAATCATATATGGGTACAAAAACTAAGTGGCTAAGGTCACTAAGGGGAGCTGGGAGAGGGAAGAATGGGGAAAGATGAACACTGCTATGGTTACCTATGCCCTCCTGGTAGAATTACTCAAGTTAAGAAACAAAAATATTGTATGTGACATATTTACATTAAACAATTATTGTTTACCAGAAAATCTAATTATACCAGGCATCTATATTTTATCTGGCAAGTCTATCTCCAGGATCTCAGAACTATCTAGAAGTATAGAGCAGTACCCTGAAGGAACACTGCTAGAAGTAAAACAAAAATGAGCAGAGCTAGAACCCTGGAGGTAAGGGTGAGTAAATAGTAGAGGAAATGCATCCAGAGAGCAGATCTGGCAAAGTCCTGTAACTGCAAATCTAAAGATGAAGCATTGTCTTGAAAAATAGAATTGAGGAGATAACCTTTTGAATTGGGCTTAGCTCTGAGAGGCAGAGACATGGCTACACAGAAAGGCTATAATTTGAGGTGTTCATGGTAACAGGAGGGGAGGCAACCCTGGAGTGAGGAAGCTGTGAAAGACATTTTGGTTCATCTCTGCATTCACCACAGGAATCTCTTACTAAAAGTCCTGAAAATTATATTTTTTTAAAAACTAGAAAGATAAAGATGAAAGTAAAATCACCATAAAAAAGTGGCCACAAAAGTAAAAAGTGCATTCTAATACTTTAAAATGAGCTAAAATAAATGAAAAAAAAAAGAGCTTTGAAAGAACAGAAAAGCTCAGAAATTTGATGGTTAGACGAAAAAAAAAATCCTTCAGAAGGAATTAAAATTTATATAAACAAACAAAAATAGAAAGGTATAAAGGATAAAATAAAAATAACAAAAGAAGTAAAAAAATTTGAAAAAATATCATATACATACACACACACAGAAACAGGAGTCACCAAAGAATAAAATCAAAGACTGTAACCAAAAATATATAAACTCTAATTCAATAAAACTTTCTTAAAAGAGAATTCAATTCCACATATTAATCATCAAAATAAAATAAAAACATTGAGACATATGCTAGTAAAAGTATTGCTTTTTACATTGAAGTATAATTTACAAGTGATAAAATGCATAAATTTTAAGGGTGCTATTGGGTTTTAACAATTATATAAACCCATATAATCAGCACCCACATTAGGACATAAAACATTTCTAACACCCCTAATAATCACCATAACCTGAGAAGACCACTGTTCTGATTATGTCAATATAGCTTAGTTTTCCCTTTGCTAGAACTTCATATAGATGGAACCGTAAAATATACAGTATCTGGCTTCTATCACTCCACATAATGTTTCTGATATTGACCAATATTATTGCATGTGCCAGTAGCTTATTGTCTTTTATTGTATTATTTTTTATGAATACATCTAACCTGTTTACTCATTCATCAGTTGATGGGTATTACAATTTTTTTCCTGTTTTTTTAGTTATTATGAGTTGTAAGTCTGCTTTTGACATTCATATATAAGACTTTCTGTGGACATGTTTTTTCAACATCTCTTGGGTAAATACCTAGAAGTGGTATTGCTGGGTCACAGAGTATGTCATTAAAAGAAACTGCTAAACTGTTTTCCATAGTATTTGAACCATTTTACATCCCCACTAGCAATATAATATGAATTGCAAAGTGTTTTCTCCTCTTCTATTTTCTGGAAGAAATTTTGTAGAATCAGTGTTAAATCTACATTGAACCTTTGGTGCAATTCTCCAGTGCAATTGTCTGAGCCTGAAAATTTCCTTATGGAAGCTTTTAAATAATAAATTAAATTTATTTAAGAGTGATGAGGCTATTCAAATCATTAATTTCATTTTTCATGAATTGGCTCTTTATGCCTTTAAAGAATTGGCCCCTTGTATTTAAATTGTTAAATTTATATATGTAAAGTTGTACAAGACAAGAAGAGAATTACATAGAAATATCTGTCATGATCATAGATGCAAAAATCCTTAACAAAATATTAACCAAGGAAATTCAGCAATGTATACATATTAAATACACTATGACCAAGTAGTGTTTATTCAAGGGATGAAAAGTTCATTTAATAATAATAGGCTAAGGAAGAAAAAAATTGCATGATTATATCATTTGATGTAGAAAAAACATTTGAAAAAATTCAGCACTAATTCATGATTTAAGAATCTCAGAAAAATACAAATATAGGTGAATTTCCTCAATGTGATAAAAAAAAAACTTCCAAAACATACCAACTAAAATTCTACTTAATGGTAAAAGACTGAATGCTTTCCCCATAAGACTGTAAATAAAGCAAGAATGTTTGGTCCCACTGCTCCTATTAAACACAGTACTAGAATTTCTAGCCAGCACAATCATGCAAGAAAAGTAATTAAAAGACAGATCAGAAAAAAAGGAATTCAGTTGAATCTACTTATAATTTTCTATACTGAATTCAGAAGAAATTCACAAAAAAATTAGAAATATTAAATGAGTTAAGATCACAGACTATGACATCATTATATTTTATTCCTATATACTAGCAATAAGCACAGAAATTAAAAATAGAATAACATTTACAATTGCTAAAAAAAGGCCTCAGATACTTAGGTATAAATCTAGAAAAATGTATAGAATTTGTATGGTAAAAACTACAAAACACTTATGAAAGAAATCAAAGATGATCTAAATGAATGAAGAGACATACCATGTTCATGGATTAAAAGACTCATCGTAGTAAAGATGCCAATTATCCTCAAATTGGGATACAGTTTTAAAGAAATTGCCATTTAAATCCCACCAAGACTGTTTACAAATATAGATAAAATTACTGTACAATTTTTACAGAAAGTTAGAAGAAGGCCTGGTGCAGTGACTCATGCCTGTAATCCCAGCACTTTGGGAGGCTGAGGCGGGTGGATCACGAGGTCAGGAGATCGAGACCATCCTGGCTAACACGGTGTAACCCCGTCACCATTAAAAATACAAAAACAAAATTAGCCGAGTGTGGTGGCAGGCGCCTGTAGTCCCAGCTCCTCGGGAGGCTGAGGCAGGAGAATGGCATGTACCCAGGAGGTGGAGCTTGCAGTGAGCCGAGATTGTGCCACTGAACTCCAGCCTGGGTGACAGAGCGAGACTCCGTCTCAGAAAAAAAAAAAAAAAAAAAGAAAAAATTAAAAGAATTGAAACAGCTAAATCAATCTTTCAAAAGAAGAAAGTGAGAGAAATTACTGTACCAATATTAAGTTTTAATATATAGCCATTGTAATCAAGATAGTGTGGTTTCGGCAGAGAGACTGACATATAGAAAAATGGAACATACTAATAAACCCAGAAATGCCCCACACGAACATGCCTAATTTTTGAGAAAGGTACAAAAGTGATTAAGTGGGGGGAAAGAGTAGTCTTTTCAACAAATACTATGGGAACAATTAAATATCCACATGCAGTAAATGAGCCTTGACCTAAACTGTATATCTTATGCAAAAATTAATTCAAAATGGATGAGATTTAAATGAAAAACAGCTAAACCAACTTTAAAACTTTTCCAAATTTATAAAACTTTTCTAAGATTTTGTAGGACAGAATGTTTGAGAATGAGTAGTTGGCAGTGTTCTTAGATGACACCAAAAACGTAATTCATAAGACAAAAAAACTGATAAACTGGATTTAATCAAAATCGATTACTTTTATTCTGTGAAAGTCCCTACTAAAAGTATGAAAAGATAAGCTTCAGAATGGGAGAAAATATTTGTAAACCACATACCTGGCAGCTAACTTATATTTATTATATTTAAACAATCCAAAAGTTAATAATATAAAACCAGACAATACAATTCAGAAATGAGGAAAAGTTATGAAGACATTTCACTGAAGAGGATATGCAGATGGCAAATAAGCACATGAAAAACATTTTCAGTATCACTAGCCATTAGGGAAATGCAAATTAAGGCTACAATGAGATATCACTACATAATTATTGGAACAGCTAAAATTAAAATAAATATATGCCCATACCAAATGCTGGTGAGGATGTGGAGAAACTGGCTCTCTCATTCAGAGCTGGTGAGGATGTAAAATTGTACAGCCACTTGGGAAAGTAATTTGGCAGTTTCTTAAATAACACAACTCAAAGAAAAGCCTACTGACCATATGATATGCCAATTACACTGCTGAGTCTTTATTCCTGAGAAATAGGAACTATGCTCACACAAAAATCTCTACATAATTGTTCACAGCAACTTCATTTGTAACAGCCTCAAATTAGAACCAACTGAAATGTCCTACAATATTTAATTAAATATTGGGTGAATATTTAAACAAATTGTTTCAATAATAGTCTAGAAATGACACAGTTATAGATATGAAGAATAAATTAATGATTGCTAGAGTTTAAAGGATGGTAGGGATGATGAGGGTGGGTATAACTATAAGGTGGTAGCACAAATATTTTTATCATGGTGGAATCATTCTGCATCTTGATAAAATGGCATAGAACTACACAACACATTTTGCCAATGTCAATTTCTCATTTTGGATATTGCGCTATAGTTAAATAGAATATAACGATTAGGGAAAACTGGGTGAAGGGTACAGGGCATCTTTGGACTAGTTCTTCAACTTCCTATAAATCTAATTATTTGAAAAAAAGTTATAATCTATTTTATTATCTTTTTAGCCAGTCATTGATACTTACTAATTAAGGCTAGAGTTATTTTTTAAATCATCACCTTCAAGTGTAATGCTCTATAATTTTCTTATTAAATAAACATTTTCATCTTAATAAGCAAAAAGGTATATTCTACTAAATCTGGTTTACAAAGTTTTTTAGTGCAATATGTCTTTGTTCTTATCTTTTGGTTGGAATTATTTTGTGGCTCTATATGCAAAACTATTTTATCATTAGATATCTGGCTATGTTTCGAGTATTGCAGAACTTCATTTACTAAAGATTACAGAATTACTTATAGAAATATATATTAAAGTCAGAATTTAGAAGGAAAATGTACTTATGGTATTCCTACATATTCTGCTTATTTCCATTTCAAGTAATAGTTGTTAAAATATTAAGTCCATATGGATAATAACCATATTAAGTGATTTGTTTATAAGACTTCAGCATAGTATTTTCTGAGCAGCCATGCCAATGTTTTTATTGCCTCTAAATGGCTGCACCAAGGAATTTGCAAGGAGGGCCCCCAAAGTCCAGGGATGAACTGCAAGCCTGTGAATCACTTAGCCATCCAGAGCTCAGGTTATTCTTTTATAGTATGAAAGCAATATGACATGGTATATCCTGGCTCTTCACTGGATGTTTGTTGTAAGCATAAATAACAGCTGCCAAAGCACTGGGAGCTTGCAGAAAGGTATCACTATGTAAAATTATGATACTAGGAATATAAAAGAGGTTCCTTCCATTAGCCACTTACCTTGCAAATAGAATGCTTTATTTATGACTTAGCAAAACTCTTTTTTAATTTTTATTATACTTTAAGTTCTGGGATACATGTGCAGAACGTGCAGGTTTGTTACATTGGTATACACGTGACATGGTGGTTTGCTGCACCCATCAACCTGTCATCTACATTAGGTATTTCTCCTAATGGTATTCTTCCCCTAGTCCCCACCCCATGACAGGCCCCAGTGTGTGATGCTTAAGCACTGCTATTTATCCAAAAGTTTATATAAGTAGCAAGGCAGCTGTATGAGTTTCTTAGGGAAAGAATAAAGGGGGAATGGGGATTTTAAAGTAATCAATGGGAAAACAGATGCAAAGGTGCTAAAAGGAAGGCAGGCAGGATTGCCACGGTTAGATTATTTCAGTGAAAATACTTATTCCAACCATTTTTGACTTCATGAAATGCCCAAGAAATATTGAATTATAAAACACTTATTTGTGTTAGGTCCTGTGGTAGGTGCTACAGCCTTTGAGATGAAATCCTATACGCTGCCTGCTCTTATGTGGCTCACAGTCCAGGAGAGGCAGGGAGACACACCGGGATAATTACAGATTAAAGTAATTCCTAGCTGAAGCTTCCTTTAATGTCCTCATTTCTCATCCTTGGTTTTAAAGTAATTATGGTTTATAAAAGAAGCAATTAGCTGCTTGAGAACCCACAAGCACCCAAAAAGTCTTCACAGCTTCAAGTTCAACACTTCTAACAATGGATAAGGCAGTCATTATACTTCAAGGTATTCATTGAATATCATGGATGAAACATTTTAAATCAAAAGGTCATCTACTTTTGCTACATTCTTGCCATGCTGGCTAAGTATTTATTCTCATAACAAACATTTATTGAGCCCATAAATTGGGCTAGGGGCTATAGATTTACTGATAAACAAATAATAGGCAGTTTGCCTTCAAAGAACTCACAATCTATTGTAAGAGATGGACAAGGAAATGAATAAATGATTGGATACATTGAAATATGTATTGGGGGATAAAGGGAGTAGGCTCTCTCAGGTTAGAAAAAAACTTCATTCTAATTATAAACCTTATCCTTCAGAACTCTTGGAGTGTTGCAAAATGTCATTATTCAAATGCTTTTTATCTCTTATTTTAAAGATATTTCAAAGAAGAAACATATCTTTAAAATTTCTTCATTTGAGTTGGGCTCTTGAATTTTGGAACAAGACTGCAATGAAAATAGTGCATTTCTTACAACATTAGAGATGGATGCCATTTTGGGTGGAAATTTAAATTAAAAACCTTATAGGGCAAGAGACAACTAAATATGAGAGCAAATAGCTGACATTTTAAACAAAATGGGAATATATCCAAATGTCAAGACAGTATTGATGATTTTCTCAATTAAAAGAGCAGTAGCCTTCCACATATTTCACAAAAGAGCAAGCTCAGCTTTGCCTCAATTAACCCAGATTTCAATTCAAGGGCAGGAGGACCACAAGCCAGATGGCTCTTCCACAAATCCCACAGTGAAAGTGTAACATATTAGATCAAGTCATCTTTCAACGTATTTTTTTAAACCCATTTTTAAAACTGTGGCTTAATTTATGGCTACTAATTTCTCTGCCTGATGATCTGGATGATACTAATTAGACTTGTAAAATTAAATGTGAAAAGTATAGAATTAACAATCCAGAATAATGGAAATTAAAAAGAGTTGACATTGGTTTTTCAAAATAACAAAGGGCAGAATAAAAATGAATTTGCTCTGCCCTTATATCCTGATGCATAATAAAAGATTGAGGGGACAAATTCAATGAAATTAAAGGGCAGGAAATTTAAAATGAATGGACATATTTATTTTCCCAGCATGTATAATAACATTTTAGCACTCGCAGTTACTGGAGGTCATGAAAAGCAAATAAAAGTACCTGAGATTCAAAAAGAGCAGAATGATTTTCTAAGTAATGAAAACATTTGTAGCAAAGATAATGGCATAATTAGATTGCCATACTTCGGGAAGCATAAACAAACAACTAATAAAAATCACCCCATCACCAGTGACATATGATAGAGGTTCTCTACATGTTTTTAAAGTCTTGAAATGCTCTGTTACTGAATGCACAGGTAGCTAGACTTCTCTTAATCTGTTAGCTGATAAAATGTGTCCCTATGTCTTTGGAGAACAACTAGGTATGAAACCAGCATTTGCGTTTTCTCCAAATTTGAATGTCGAAATGGAACATGCTAAAATAATGGGCTACTATTGGAAATAGAAGTGAGCTTGAAGTTAGAAACTAATTTAAATATGTGCTCTTGTATGTATTATTTTCATAATTTCCAGCAAGTCACATAAATTCTCTGGACTATAGTTTTCCTATTTGTAAAATGGGTTTACTGAGGCTTATTACTTCCTTCTAGGGACTGGTAGGAGAGACCGCAACTTTATCTTTGCATCCTATCTCAGTGGGGCACATAGGCCTAAATAGGACCTATAGCCCAGAAACCACCTGGATAATCCACCACTGCTGAAAGTAAAGAAGCAAAGCATTCTGATTATAATTCTGTGTTAAATACATATAATTAAAATAAATAAGAATAAATTCTAAAGGGAGAAATGTTCACTTGTGCCTCTTGGTTAAGCATAACACCCAGACTTGTTTACTCAGCAGACTTTGGAATCTCTTTTTCTTGGGGTCTGAAAATGAGAGGCAATGGTTGGCCTTTTAATTTTAGGGTCTGGCTTTGATCAAAGAGAACTAAACTATGTGTTCCCCTGAATGGCTGCACTCTTGTTTCTGTACTTAGTGTTATGATTCTGTCATCTTAGTGTCAGCATAACTTCCTCATCAGGTCCAGAAATGCATAATTCTTTCATGGGGTATTCAGATTCTCAGTTAAACTGAGGAGATTTAAGACAAAGACAGATAAGTTGAAGTAAAGAAAACAAATGGCAAGAGTACAGGGAAAATTTTTTTTAAGTTAAATGATAGAAGAGGGATACATAATAAAGCTAAGATATTTTTCCAGGGCAATTAACACCCAAAAGTCTGTCAAGAGGCCATCCTTACTTTAATAATTATCAAGAATAATTTATTGGGAGATGATAAAAATGCTGCTAAAATGAAAATCCACCATTTGTTTCATCTCTCTGAAGATGATTTTGAGTAAATGTCACCAACAGACATAAAACTCCCCAAACAAGATTTAAAAAAAAAATCAGTAGCTGAGGCAAAGTGTGACAAAGTTTGACAAAATTTCAAAATTAGAAGACCTAATTAAACCCATAATGAGACTAAAATAGCAAAACATCAAGAATACTACATTTGTAATCTGTTTAGGTCCTCTAATAGCATTTTTTAAAAGAAGTAAAGTATTGCTCACATTTATTATACAATCTATGAAATATTCCACACATGCCAAAACTATTTCATGAGGCTTTAGCAGAAGACATGGTATTGAAATTCTGAATAGAAATGATTTATACTTAGCATTTCTCTGGCATTAGAGAAATGATTGGAAATTTTTCTTT
Organism: Homo sapiens; assembly: GCF_000001405.40. NCBI lineage: Eukaryota > Metazoa > Chordata > Mammalia > Primates > Hominidae > Homo > Homo sapiens. Next base: position 124,318,008 of record NC_000006.12, on the reverse strand, counting down.
TAATTAAAACTGTCAGCATGGAAGGATTTAAGGATGATCAGAACAAATCCAACCAGCAAACTTCATTAGCCAAGAAAGTTACAGGAAAAGTAAAAAAACTATTTACAAGTATTACAACAAATGGGTCTACAAATTAGGCATATTTGGTGGAGTTATTATAAATATATTGAATACAAGCATGAGCAGAATTTTAGAAAATTCTTCAACTAAAAGTTTCACAAGATGTGAATAACCTAGTAGTCTGATGATCAAAATAAATGAAAGAATATTTTGCTCTAGTATTTCCCTGAGCACTAAGAAATATGTACATTTTAGGGGCCTATAACTTAAGAAAATTAACCAGATTTCCTTTCCTTTCCAGTTTATGTTAAAATAGTATATAAGTTAATGAAGAATGATTTTTATTGTAACCTAACTCAATCACCCTAGTAAAGTTCACAGGAGTGCCAATGATTGTGATATAGACAATCTTATGTGTTCAAAACAATGAGAGCACCCTGCTTTACACAATACTAGACATCTTTCCCATCCTGTCTTTAATATACTCTAAGGAAGTTATTTAGAAACACTGAATCAGTACCAAATGTCTAAACTAGTCCCTCCAAAATGTTTTTAAAAGCAAAGAGAATATTCTTTCCTACACTGCACACTCCAGACACAGACTTTGATTCAATGACTTGCAATATGGTGGAACCTTAAGAGGTACTTGATGCATTGATATGAAAATTACAATTAAAACTTGAGAAAAGACCACAGTCCAGGGTTCTGACAAGCTTTGGAACAATGCTAACTTGAGTTCACCTTCTCTAGTTGTAGGAAACACTCCTGACATCTACCATCTCAAGAGCCCAGCAGTAGTCTCCTTATTTTATTTTATTTTTTAAAGAGATGTTATGTTGCCCATGCTGGCCTTAATCCCCTAAGCTAGAGATTCTCCCACCTTATCCTCCAGAGCAGCTGGGACTATAAGCACATGCAACCGTGCCTGGCTTTCTTAAATTTGTTTCAATTAGAGTCCCACTCCTAATGGACTGAAGGTGCTTTTAACCTTCCATAGCTACCAATAGAGAAAAATAAAGCAACACAACACATTTAATATATAATGATGCTTTCCCAGTCCACCTGAATCTTTGAATCCAGAAGGTGCTGAATTCTAGATGTGCTATTAGAGAGAATAAATATATAATGATGCTTTCCCAGTCCACCTGAATCTTCAAGTTCCAGAAGGTGCTGAGTAGAATGAGTCACCTTATTGAACTTTATTCTCTCTAATAGCACATTTGCTACCAACTTTTAGAAACTCTTCCAGGATATCACAATTGCATTAAGAAGTATTACTTGAAATTCCTCTTAGCTTTCCCTTTTCTTAACTGTATCTTATGACTTTTACAAATCTCATCAATGTCCCTCTTTTCAACTTTCATTTATTTTTATAAAGTTTGTGAATATCAGATCATAAAATTACTTAATTAAACTAGTGACTCTTGGACACTCAGTGTATAAACTGTGACTAGGCAAATTATTGCATATAGTAATGAGAAATGCGGTTATATCATACAGTTTGCTTAATTTACACTGATTACACTGATCCTAACCATGGATCCATCAATCATCTGTGTCTATGTGTTGATGTTCATTTCTGTGTCATGCAGACATACATGTAGTTATGAGAGCTAAGAAATTTAATGAGTATTTATGACTATGTTGATTTTTCTTTCTTAAATTTTTAATTGTTATGGATACATAATAGGTGTGCACATTTATGGGATACATGTGATATTTTAAAACAAGCTGCAAGCGTACAAATGTGTAATGATCAAATCAGGGTAGTCAAGATATACATTACCTTAAACATGTATCATTTATTTGTATTAGAAACATTCTACTTTCCACTTATTTTCAAATATACAAAAAAAAGTTAACTCTAGTCACCCTACTGTGCTACTGAACACTAGATGTTATTCCTCCTTATTGTATTTTTTACTCATGAACCAAATCCTCTTTGTTGATTTTTCTTTCTTGATACTGAGCCTCTTAGGTGCAGCGTACTAGGAAAAAGATTCACCCATCTTGTCATAAGAACATTTTAACTTGACCCATCAATTCTCTGAGTTTCTAAAAATGTTTTTATTTTAATAGGAAAATAAAATGTTTTGAATAAGAAGAGATATAAGCAAATAAGAGTTAATGATAATATATCCTGCACATTTTTCCATTTCTTACTATAATATCAATATAAAAAGGATTAGACATTACTCTAAATGTTCATTTCTGAGGCAAAAGCAAGGACACCTAGCAGGATAATATCTTTTCTCCAATGCATTTGGTGAACAAAGTGCCAGTGCAGTGTAATTTATATCTGGAGATTCGACACTTTGGAAAATTAATCCTTTGCCAATTCTATTCATCTGCTAAGTCCTTACAATTTAAGTCATGTCTTCAATATGTTGATTCTCTAGAAACTAGAAAAGAGTTTAGGCTCTTAGCAACTTTTGATCCATGAATAATTTTACACATGTCAATTGCTTCCAAAATTGTAAGTTTCTGCAGCTTTATGAGATTTTCTTTTTGTGCCACTATCCTAAAAAAATTGCTCTTTTTTTAAAGTGCATTCACTACCTTCTCTGACATTGTAACTATTTATATCTAGAAGTAATACCTGCTCATTTGCTTTTTGTAATATCCTTTTAGAAAAAATCGGTACCTTTATCTCTGGATTCTTGTCACTTTGTGGCCATGTGTCTGGGAGGGTTGGATGGCTTTATCGATTAGTTTACAAACCCAAGATGCAAGACTTGTTGATCTGGGATGCACCAAAGATCTTACAAATGTGGATGTACCTACTTCATCATCTACAAGAGAAATACAGTTCTTCCTGGAATATAAGTTCTAGGAATCATCATTAATAATAATATAATGAAAAGAATGTGTAATGCACATTACTACTTCTGGCCAAAAATCAATCATTTATTATATAAAAAACTTACATAATTAGTATATTAACAATTACACATTAGAGATTTTTACACTTAGAAGAACTGAAGCAAGGCCTCTTTATTTAAATTGAATATTGATACTAGGCACCAGGCACTTATGAGATAGAATCCTTGGTTAACGTATGTTCAAACAGAAACAACTTATCCTAGTAGAATATTAGAATGAATTCATATTTTCTGTAATGGATATTGCAGTGGTGCTTTCTGTATATCCTCTTTAGGCAGAGGCACCACCCCAGCTGCTGGAAATATTAGCTGTTGAGGGCTCACAGCAGTCTCACTGGGCATTGCCCTTGTCCTAAGAGAACTTCCTCATCGTAGGCTGAACCCTTTTCAGGGGACAGGATTCAGCTACTGACTGGCTGATAAGGTATGGATAGAAAGGCCCCAGCCTCTAGATTGTCTCAATTTGGCACAACTCTGAAGGGCTATGCCTGCTCCTGAGCTCCTTTGTAGGAGGAGCCCAGGCTTTATTTGCAACATCATTGCAGCTGCTCCCTCTGCCCTTTCCTGGATCTTAACTCCTCTAGCTTCTTTGCTGGTGTGTCTTTCAGAGCACTTCCAAATAAGCCCTCTGCACCTCAGAGCACATTTTCCAATCCAAGAAAACGTCTAAACATTTTTATCTTGCAAAACTTATAGGAGTAATGTTTAGTGGAAATTAGTTTAGAGGACCAAACACAAAGTGCTAAACCCAAAGTCCTGAATGGTTTGCTCATTTTCCATTAATAATTTATTCTGATTTAAAAGGTAAGGTAAATCTCTCTGTGACTTTCTTTAGTTTCTGTGTATGTAATGGATGTTGAGGAAGAATTTTCCAGTTGTCTAGAATTGACTGCTAGGAAACAAAGACAAGCAGAAAGCACTTCATATTCTAAAAAGAGGGTGGCCTCTGGCAGCCAATCCACCCGTGCTCCCTAAATTTTCATCCTAGCCCTCCCATTCTGGCCTGTATAAGCAAAAACTGAAAGGTGTGGACCTTCAGCCTTAACCTAGTTTGTGCCCTTTTCCCAATCTTCTACCCCCGGGAATGTCAAGAGAATCCCTTGCAGAGATCTGAGATAATCACAAAGAGAGCCCGGCAACTTATTCAATAGGGCATTTTTGTAGCAAACTTGCTGATGGGCCTTAGTGCCCTTGAAGTTGAGGAAGGAGATAAAAGGTTAAAAGACACCGAGCTAGGGTAGATTTTCTGCATTGAAAATTGATTTTGCCATCATGAGGCTATTGAAAGATCCTTTAAGGAAACAACAGATACTCTGTCAAAGAGCCAGCATGGGGAAACCGGCCACCCAGAGTGTACAATTGGAGAAATTTCAAGAATCAATAGTGAGAAAATCACAATACCACCAATTAAGTAAGAGGAGTTTACCTCTTTTACCCCATCTTTCCTCTAAGGTCACCAATACACTGGAGAAGAAGAAATCCCAGAATAGCAAGGAAGAGGGCAGAAGTGTAGTGAAAGCATAGAAAAGCAGGTCATGCCCTATTCCCAGCCTAGGCACCTGTACTGGGGAGGAAAGTCGATGGGAATGATACATGGTAAATTGGATAAGTGACTGAAGTTTTAAACTGAACTAATGAGAATATTAATATCTGAAAATGCATGAGAATCTATGAGACCTGCCTGAGATGCTTTTAAGGGACAGGCAATAGATATCAGACACAGCACGAAGGCAATGATTGGAATAAAAAAAAAGATGTTTCCACCTACTAGTTTAAGAGTGTTCAAGGACTGGTTACATTTCATTTTTGTAAATATATGAGAAATCTTAACCTACTTTATTGGAGAAGTATGATTAAGAACATTTGCTATCCTGCTTGATTTGATGCACTAACTGAAGGAAAATTTTTCTGTTTACTAAAGAGTTTAGTCAGCTATGCAGGTTTTTCTTACAAAATTTTCATACATACTGACTGTGATATTATATGTATAAATGGTTTTTTTTCCCATGGTTCCTAGCTTATGACTCCCATAACCCTTAATACAGGCTTTTGTTATAATGTTGGGGCACTTTAGGCCTCAGAAAGCAGAATCCCTCTCTGATCTTCTCCCATCCTCCTTGCACCTGCCCAAGGCGTGACTCTAATTTCCTCCCGCTTTTCTGTCTTGGAGCTGACCATAGGTATTCTCTGACTTAACTTTTCTGAATATAGGTCTGGCCCCATAACTGGGAGGAAGGAATGCTGCATTGAAAAGCCAAAAAGAATCTGCACAGGCCTTGCTGGGTTTCCCCCACTCAGTCTATTAGCATTAGATCACACCCTTTTGTCCAATCACATTTATGCATAATTGTTCATTGCTTCAATCGTAACTAGCCAATGAAGTCTCCATAAAAGACCGAAGAGGACACGGTATGAAGAGCCTCTAGGCAGCTGAACTCATGAAGATTCCCAGAGAGCAGCACACTCAGCGAGGGCACCGAAGCTCTGTGCTCCTTCCCCCACACCCTGCCTTTTGCATCTCTTCATCTGTATTCTTTGTAATATTCTTTTTATAATAAACTGGTAAATGTAAGTATTTCCCTGAACTGTCCTAGCAGGTTAATCTAACCCAAAGAGGGGTTATGAGAACCCAACTGAAAGCAGGTCTGTCAGAAGTTCCAGAGGCCTGGACATGCAACTGGTGTCTGAAGGGGGTGCAGTTTTCTGGGACTGAGTCTCAACCTGTGGGATCTGACGCTATCTCCAGGTAGAGTGTCAGAACTGAATTGGAAGACAGCTAGCTGGTGTCTGCAGCAGAATAGACTTCTTGCTTGCTGGTGGGGAGAAATCTCTGCACATTAAGTCACAGAAGTCTTCAATGCTGATTGTTGTGGTGTAAAGTTTGTGTTTTTTTCACTCACACTGACACAGAAGGAAGGATGACCATAGCATAGCATTGAGTTAAAAAGAGAAAGCGATGCTAAATACTCCCATGTATGCAAATAAAAAGTGTGTGATTTTATGTTTGCATAGGTTTTCTCTATTTATATACCTCTTTCTCTCTCCCCAAAGTTTACAACTGGAGGTTGACAGGGGTTAGAATTAGAGGTTAACAGTGGTCAATCCTGTTAACCACTACTTACTAGTAGTTATTGGGAGTAAAGGAGAGTACATTTTTGCTTTATCTGTGTTGCTTGCATTTTTATACCACATACGTTTAACCTTTGAAAGCTAAAAAATACATATTTTTTATAAACAGGAAAACAAAGTGAAAGGAATAGATTCATCAGACAGGCAATGGTCTCTTTTCTGCAACCAGGTCTCTTAAGACACTAGTGAACATGTTGTGACTTTATAATCACTAACGATACCAATTAAGAATGGGCTCTACTGAGCATGTGAATGCAAATTCAATAAGCAAACGTGCCTCTCACGTTATTAACTCCATCCTGGTCATGTTCCTCCCTATTTGCGTTTTGCTTCCTGCTTACATTTGTTTTCACATAAGTAAACGTAGTAGATGTAATCTTTAGAAACTGACTTATTTGAAATTTCCTATTTTTAAAACGTGAAAAGCAAATCTATGATTTTTCCATGGTGGCAGTGGATATATAAATATTTTCAGGGTGGCCCAGAAGCATATCCACACAATGGAAGCATGTGAGCGCATGGCCACAGGGTGGTTTGTACAAGTGGGGAAACTTTGCTGGGTCCATAATCCTATTAAATGCGGAGAGTTTGTGGCATTTTCCTCCTTGTGTATTTTCAAATGGGATATAGTAGTCTTATCTGTTTATAATTGCTAATATTTTATCTTGTCCAAAATTAGGGCTTCTCAGTATTGTCCAACTCTGCAGACTTGCTCTGAAGACCCTGCTCTGGACTGAGGATGGGGGTCACAGTGGAAGTGTGGGCCTTTGTCCCCTCTTTCTGCTTTCACTGAGTATCTTCACTGTTCTTTGCTCTACATATTAAAATCTCTCCTAATAAGTTGATGAAAAGGGAAATCAGGTGTTCAAACTTTGAAAATTGTGGCTTTAGACCCAGAATTTTACTTACGGAAGGAAATTTGAAAGTCTTCAAACAACTTTAGTTAGGAATGAACAAAATTAGTTTTGTTTCTTTATTAATGAGTGATTTTGTTCACAGATTTTTAGTTGCAAACACTGTGAAACCAACACCGGGACCAAAGCTTTTAACTCTCAGATCAGTGTGCTTCCACCTTACCACGCTGCCTTCCTTTTGCTGCTAATCTCATTGTTAGTATCACTTCTAGCTTTCAGGGCCTGGGATTCTGAACATATCTGGTCAAACTAATTGTGAGAGGAATTCGCTGGCAATCTAAGAATCAAGATCATAATTATTCACTAACATCACCTCTGACTTCAGTGGAGATTCGGGTCATATTTGGCAGAACAGCTACTTTCGGCTTTCAGTTAATTTCTGAATGAATCTACTTATCCTGTAAGAAGTGCATGGTATGTTTCAAATTCATTGTAGGTTCCTAACGTCCTCCAAGGGACAGTAATATTTTTTAGTTCATCCTAACAAATCACAACCCAGGGAGGTACATTTAGTTTTTCTGTGAGCTGTAGATACATAAAAAAAGAAAAAAAAATCTGTAGCCCACATTCTGTTTGTTAAAACATGTAATGCATTTCAAATATTAACTTTCTAACTATGATTTCAGAAAGATCATTAAAGTCTTTGTCTTAAGGAATGAAAATCTCTTATTACTAATGATGTGTCAGCAATACCATTCTATGCAGGCATGGCAATACAAGGCACTTATAATGCAGCTGCACAAATAATAAAAATAAAATTACAAAAAAAAATCTACATAAATGAAAGTACTAACATAACTATATATATCATCTTCTATTCCCATGTTAACAATACTAAAACAGCTATGTGCTTTTCAATGCATTTTTCTTCATTTTTCTTCGTGGTTTGATCTCATTTTAGTATTTCATCAGTTGTGTGCTTTTATGATAAACATTTCGGGACATCTATTCCCACCAAGCTCCATTTATCTGAAAGAACTTAGTTTCTGTGAAACACAGGTATTTCAAGTCTGACCTATGTATGGAAATAAGCTGAACTAAGTAATTTTACCTCTTTTACTATTGTTTGAGGTCTTAAGTCCCAAGAGTGAGAATGAAGGTGAGAAGACTGGCAAAAGGTAAAGGTGAAGGAGAGAGAAGGGAAAGAAGAAAAAAAGAGCAAGAAAGTTAGAAAGAAGGGATACCATTTGATTAACATTCTGGGGTAAAATCAATAAAACTAGGATGACTAGTGAGTGTCATTTAAAAAGCCCAGTAAAAATCCCAGGCACTGACAGACTGTTGTGACTGAAATGAATCTACAGGATCACATTGTCAAAATCAATCCACTTACAATTGAGATGACAAAGACACCCAGAAAACCTCTCTTGCCTGAGGCCATACAATGTAAGGTTCTTGGTTGAAAATCAAGACACAAATAAAGACATACATTGCAAGTAATAATAAATTATTTAAATAATATGCTAAATTAAGCTGTCAATATTATAGATAGAAGTCTTCATGAAATTTAAAAATTAGTAGGTTTTATCTATTTAAAACCCTAATACATTAAGGGAAATGTCTACAACATACAGTTCTAATTACATTTTTTCATGAGAATATCAACTTGATTTCAGATATAGACCTGCTATTAACTCAAGTTAATAAATTATCCCCCAAAAATTTCAATTTAGAAAATGCTTTTGGTGTGATTTCCTTCAAATAGCATGTTGTGACTGAAAAAACATCAAATAATTAGTTCCAGGCTTGAGTCTTTTACACCAATTTTAAAGCATTGAGGGAATGATTTACCCTTTCTAAGCTTCCAATAACTCATCTAAAATTAGTGGTTTGGATTTGAGGACTCCCAAATTCCCTGTCCACTGCACTTTCTATAAGTTACACTAGTATGTGAGTGAGCTTCAGGATCTTTCAGATTTAATACACTTCTCCTTTCCAGAAACAAACCAGATCAAAACAAAAGAGTCAAATTTCAAAGGTAAAATAGAATGGATGCCTGTTCTCGGTTTGTTTCTGTAGTCTCTTTTATTTTCCAAGTCGATAGGTATTATCATTCTGTAATAATCTTTACTTTTAAAACTCCAAATTGTAGACTGTGTTGTTACAATGGGTTTAACTGTACCATTTTAAATCCTTTGGTATTTGAAAGGAAAACTTTAGTGGATCCTTTCCTTATTGAAAGATTTGGGACTTGGATTCATTTTTCCACCATCCCAACTATGAATGGGTTTAGATGTCCAAATGAAATAGGTGCCAACCAGTACCATAAAATGGGTAAATATACTTAAGAAGGGAAATGAAATAGGTACCAACTAGCACCATAAAATGGGTGAATATACTTAAGAGGAGAAGATAGATTTAATTTGATACAGTAGGCAAGAAAGTGCCGAGATTAAATAATTGGATCTGAATCTCTTTCTAAAGCACAATAAGCCTTCATCTTTTACTTCAATCTTTACTGTTAAGAAAAACAAAACAAAACAAAAGCAACTCAGATAAATAACTACTCAGGAAATATTTCAGCTTTAAATGTTTATATCTGTTTGCTAAATATTAATTTTGATTACATTTATATCTCATGTAAACTTGGCTTATCTTTAGCAGATAAAATAAATAATATTGTTCTTCAGGCATATAAAAATTAACTAATAGTCGTGGAGTTTGATAAATCTTCTACCAAGTAATACAATGGTAAGAGAATGAGTTAATGTCCTTTTCAGGGACATGGATGAAGCTGGAAGCCATCATTCTCAGCAAACCAACACAGGAACAGAAAACTAAACTCCGCATGTTCTCACTCGTAAGTGGAAGTTGAAAAATGAGAACACATGGTTACAGGGAGGGGAACATCAGGCACTGGGGCCTGCTGCGGGGTGGGGGGCAAAGGGAGGGAGAGCATTAGAACAAATACCTAATGCATGCGGGGCTTAAAACCTAGATGACAGGTTGATAGGTGCAGCAAACCACCATGGTACATGTATACCTATGTAACAAACCTACACGTTCTACACATGTATCTGAGAACTTAAAGTAAAATAAAAAAAATTTTTTTTAAAGAAAGTTATGGGGAATTAGTTGCTTTCAGTTTTCACTTAGGATTAATAATACATTTTTATCATACTTCACATTTTATATATTGAAATGATAAATTCTGATAATTAGAAAGAATATATTTAGTTCCAAATAAAACTTGTAAAATTTTTCAAACACTATTGCAACATTTCTGAGAAATGCTTATTTTGGAATAGATTGCTAGCTCTTGCTTTCATTTTTTAAAAGTACAACAAAGCTGTCATATTTTAATAAATAATTCCAAGATATAGTAATTTACATTGCTTTAAGAGAATATTTTCCTATGGATCATGTAATAAAGAACAAGAAATTCAATTGTAATTGTCAACCTTTATGTATATTAAAAGCTTTCCACTTCCATCAGTGACAACCACAGGATACACATGGTTATTGATTGTAAGCTATTTTTTCAGGATGGATTAATGGTTTCTTCTCTCGTAAATATAAATATTTCAACCTGAGCTCATCAAACCTTCAAACTGTTAAACAACCATTAATAGCATCCAATCCCATTCACCTACCTACCACTCCTCCCCAGAGGTTTCTTAAGATAGTACCGTGTGGAATAAGAAATACACAATAAACTATAATTTAACCATAAGCATATTAATTACATATCCTGACCCAACCATGTTGTTCAAGAAATTTTATCTATTTTCACTTTTATTTAGCCAGAACATTTTACTAGTGAATTGTTAAAATATCTGTTGGCTATCTCAAAATAAGCATAGCCAGACCTAACTCATTTGCCCTTTAGCCTATCCCATATATAATTTTTTATCAGAGAAATAATTTCATTCATATTGACTATGATATATACTAAATTTATGTCAGAAAAACAATTTTCTTGTAGAGGTCCTCTATGTTAGACCTTCCCGAGCGGGCCTTTTCCTCACTGTGGTAACAGAACTCATTTAACATAAGAATAGGCATGATTTAGGTAAAACTCTTGACACTTGTTAGGCATGTAATAAATGCAAGTTGCAACACTAATAATCATTATTACTGATTTAGCTTTCAATTTAAGCTCGTTTTCTTAATGAAAGGTTAGCAAATATTGGCTGATTGTATTGTGCCTTAATATTGTTTAGCTTACTTGCATAGAAATATATGTTACTTTCCTTATAAGCAGAATTGTCACATACAGTTCTGAATAATGGCCATTAAGATTGACTTGTCTTCTGATCCACAAACTCAAACAGCAATTAGCAGGGCAACACTGCACAGAATTTTTTATTGTATACTTCAAATAGTTTTTTATCATGCTACTTAAGAAGAGAGGAAAATGAATATATATGTCTTAGCTGGGTATTAGAGTGATCTGGTACCTATTTCATTTGCACTTTTAAGACCTCAGCATATAAACTTCAAAGGCAGCTTGCTGTATTGATCAATAGAAGTACTGAGTCATGACAGATTTTGTTTTTCTTTAATCATCAGTTGCTTGGATTGAAATAACACTTGAACACATTAAAATTCCAGAAATTTCTAGTTTATGCATAAGAAGTTAAGATCCATATTTTGCTTTTTAGATGGGAAAAGATTATTGCATTCACACTGCCTTTCTAATGTATATCAGATATATATATATTCACTCAGGAGTAAAAATACAACATTCTTTACCTTTCTTTTTGAAGTTATAAAGGCTATTGCAGTGTTCCCTGGTATTTCTTGGACCTATGAAAACTAAAACTTGGAAATCACCATGGAGCAGACATTTATTTTTCAAAGGTCCTCCTTCCTAAATTTCTTACCTATCAACTCTTTAGTAACAAGAAGCAACTTACCATATTAGAAGGCTAAAAAGATACCAATCCCCAAAACATTTAATAATCTATTTCAAAATGCTTTTCCTCAGCAAATCCTTGCAGATTCTGATTATAAACATCCAATAAACTAATCTGGAGTTAGTGGAGAGGTGAGGGTGAGGGTGATGACAAGAATCATCTACTAGTAACTTGAAGAGTAAGGACAATTGGGAGAAATTAAATATAAAACAGAGGGCCAAAGATAACTGAAAGGAAGGAAAGAAGAAAAGAAAGAATTAGGAAATAAGAAAGGGAGACAATAATGAGAGACAGCAGAGCTTTATTTGTACAGAACATGGGTTTGCAGCAGCAGGGCCAGGAGGTTGCTAAAATGGCAATGAGTATATTGAAAATTAAAACCAAATGGACCAGAAATAAGTGCCTAACAGCAAGAAAATGTCTAAAAGATGAGCAAAGCTAAGAACATAAGATAGAAAGTGAAAATGAAGTATCAAGATCAGCAGTCTACCACCCTTTTGCCACGACTGTGGCTTAAAGTATGACCCCGGGAGTATCTCAGATTTTATTTTTAATCCTGATCTCTAGTCTCACATTCCTAAACTTTTGAACATCTCCATTTGGGTGTCTTATTCATTAGATTTTATTTATTTCCTTGTCAAACTTCCCCTCCAAGGAAGGCATCCTTGTATTAATTAGAGCCACTGTCCCCTACCACCAAAATCAGAATTATCAACAACATATATCCTTTTCAAACACTCTAAATCCAGTAAGTCGTGAAGTCCTGCCAAAGATACCATAAATATTATTTGAATTTATCTTCTTTACATTCTCAAGACCACAGCCTAATTTGGTTCCTCATTGTCCCTTGTTTGATTGCCTCCGAGGTGGCCTCCTCACATTAAGTATCTCTCTACCCAAATACATTCTCCACTGTAATACCAGAAATCTTAAAGCTCAGTTCCAATCACGTCACTTGTAAACATTTTTTATTGATGGGAATATCTCTCTAAATATTTAAATAGATTAATTTTTTAATCTTAAAAATGAAAAACTCTTCTTCAAAGTATACCTTTCATTCCCTCTAGCTACCACTACCCATTTTTCATTCTTTCGTAGCTAATTTTTTTAAATGTGTACCAAAATCCTTCATCATCTCGGATTCCATATTAACCTACAGCAATCTTGTTTCTCTTTCTACAATTCCTGACATTATGTAAGTTGTGTTATCCATTATATCTTAGTTTGAAGGCAATTACAGACTTTTTTTTTTGGAGGCAAGTCTTGTTCTGTCGCCAGGCTGGAGTGCAGTGGCATGATCTTGGCTCACTACAGTCTCCACCTCCTGGGTTTAAGTGAGTCCCCTGCCTCAGCCTCCTGACTAGCCAGGACTACAGGCACACACCACCACGCCTGGCTAATTTTTTGTATTTTAGTAGAGATGGGGTTTCACCATGTTGGCCAGAATGGTCTCTATCTTCTGACCTCATGATCCCCCCACCTTGGCCTCCCAAAGTGCTGGGATTACAGGCATGAGCCACCACGCCTGGCCAATTATAGACTTTTATAAGGAAGTGGATCTCTCTGAGTAGTTGATCTACTATTGACCACTACTCGCTTATTTCTGAAATGCATGATTCCTTAATTTTCATGACACTACTCTTTCAGCCGTTTTTCTACTCTAACTATACTTCTTAAGTCTCCTTTGTGTTTTTTTCTGCACTCATTTTATATTTTTGACTAGGCCTCTATATGTATGCTTTTCTTCTTCTTATACCACATATTCTTGCCTTCAGTTATGGTCTATATCAAGCATATAGGAAAGGATTAAATCAAATGTCAAATTATATGACTGAAAACGGATTAATAAATGCAGAGCAATATTAAGAATCCAGATAAAATTTAGGCTCAGTAAGAAGTTTCAGTCAATGAATAAAGCTCACTATGGGCATGGATGGGAAGGTGGAAATGAGTTAATTATTATTTACTATTCCTGACTCTGATCTAAATACTGATGACTAAACAAATCTACCGTGTCTCTAGTATCCATTCAATATTACTTTCCTGAGTTCCAGATTCCTATACATTCCTGCTTGATTGGCAGTTTCAACCTGTTATCAATAGGCACCTTAAATTAAGCAATTTCTAAACTAAAGCCATCATCTCCATGCCAAAACTTGGTTTGCCTTTCATCACCCACTACAGTAAATGGCATTTTCACTCATTTGGTTACCCAAGCCCAATATTTGAGTTCCATTTGATACTTTTCCCTTGCAATCATGAACAAATCATTCAGATTCACTCATCTCTATATCCCTTGAATCCACTCTCTTGTCTCCATTTTAATTACTGCCCCACCAGTTCAAGTCCTCTTCATCTTTAACTGGGAATACTGCAGGTCTGATAATTTTTCTTTCAGACTCAGGTGCTTCTCCCCTTTTATTAACCCTTTATATTGTCTCCAGATTGATTATTATATCTGATCATATAACTTCCCTGTAGAGACAAAAGTAACTCCATCTTGGGTGCTAACCCACCTTGTTGAGTTCTGATTAATGCCAGTCCCAGCAATGCTTCCTTACTTCTATTCATTTACTGTCCTTAGTGGAAGACCACGTACTGACTATAAATACTGTCTTTAGATCAAAGCAACCTTAATGTTATTGCACAAATTACGGCCTTTGACACACATAGCATTCTTGCCTGTTCTCAAGGGTTCTGTTTACTTGTCTCTATAGACCACATAAACTCTTTCCCTGTAGTAAGCCTTGGTTCTGAAGAGTAACAGTGTAGAGATCTACCTGTTTTGCTGCTGCCGAAGACTATGCTTTACATAAGTTCCCCAATAAATCACCCATCACCAACAAACTGGATTTGTTTGCCATGTTCTTTGGTTTCTTGGCTCCTTCCAATTTTGGGGGTCACTTTGCATATATGGTCATTTCATGGAAGATTTTCTGTTTAAAATCTATTTAAAATTAATCATATCATTCTGTATTTTAAAAACTACCAATGGTTGTCTGTAATCTTCACAAGTTGTTTTTTATATTTTGTGCATCTTAAAGTTCTCTAATAGTGTTCAAAATAATAGATCCTCTCTCCTGAAAGATGCACATACATACCCCATCTAATTTTAAATTATTGAATCAGACCAAAGATGCCTGCTTCACAGGCCAAAATATGTCTACATAAAAGGTCCAAATTCCTGCTGCTCTCATTCATAAACTCTGTGCAGAAGCCTGGGAAGTCTTCTAAATATGGTATGCTCTTTCTTGCTGCTTTGCCTCTACATATTTTGATACCTTTCTTAGATTGTTTTCTGCCTGGGAATATACCATGTATTCTTGGTTTCAGCCCAAATTTTATCTTCTCTACAGTGTCTTCATTAATTCATGAGTCAGACATGGATGTTTCTTCTAAGTTTTTTTTTCCAATAATGTACACAAGCTTACTATTTATTTGTTGTGTGAACCCTTTGAAGATAATATTTTATATATTGCATACCTTTTACATACCAAAGTGCCTGGAACATGGCAGATAATTATTTATTTCTGTTTTGCTTTAATTAGTTTTCACCTGAAGATAATATAAGAAACTTAATATGCAAAAATCAAAGATAGGATAGCTTAGTTTAAATAAAATGACCATCCTCCAGATAAAAAAATTTAAAAAACATTACCCATTTTGACATATTAGCATACTCAAAAATTATAAAAACAATATTATAACTGAGGAATGATTAACAAGAAAGTCTTTATTGTAATACTTAAAATGGATAGTCTGTGTCATGGAGGAAAACTTTCAATACTTGTAAAAACCATTTGATACCTAGAAATCTAAGAATCAGATTACTCTATTAGTCTGTTCTCACACAGCTAATAAAGACATACCTGTGAGTGAGTAATTTATAAAGGAAAGAGGTTTAACTGACTCACAGTTTCACATGGCCGGGAGGCCTCATAATCAAGTCAGAAGGTGAAGGAGGAGCAAAGTCACCTCTTACATGACAGCAGGCAAGAGAGCTTGTGCAGGGGAACTCCCATTATAAAAACGTCAGATCTTGTGAGACTTATTCACTACCACCAGAACAGTATGGGGGAAGTGGCCCCCATGATTCAGTTATCTCTGCCTGGCCCCACCCTTGACATGGGGGATTATTACAATTCAAGGTGAGATTTGGGTCGGGACACAGCTAAACCATATCATTCCACCCCAGCCCCTCCCAAAACTCAGGTTCTCATATTTCAAAACCAACATTGCCCCAAAGTGTTAACTCATTTCAGCATTAACTCAAAAGTCCACAGTCCAAAGTCTCATCTGAGGCAATGCAAGTCCCTTCTGCCTATGAGCCTGTAAAATCAAAAGCAAGTTAGGTAAAATGGGCTTATGGGCATTGGGTAAATATGCCCATTCCAAATGAAAGAAATTGGCCAAAATGAAGGGGCTACAGGCCCCATGCAAGTCTGAAATCCAATGAGGCAGTCAAATCTGAAAGCTCCAAAATGATTTCCTTTGACTCCATATCTCACATCCAGGTCATACTGATACAATAGGTGGGTTCTCATTCTTGGGCAGCTCTGACCCTGTGGCTTTGCAGGGTACAGCAGCCCTCCTAGCCGCTTTCAGGGGCTGGTGTTGAGTGTCTGCAGCTTTTCCAGGTACACAGTGCAAGCTGTCAGTGGGTCTACCATTGTGGGGTCTGGAGGATGGTGGCCTTCTTCTCACAGCTCCACTAGGCAGTGCCCCAGTGGGGACAATGTAGGGGCTTCCACCACACATTTCCCTTCTGCACTGCCCTAGCAGAGGTTCCCCACGAGGGTTCTGCGCCTGCAGGACACCTCTACCTGGACATCCAGGCATTTCCATACATCCTCTGAAATCTAGGCAGCAGTTCCTGAACCTCAATTCTTTACTTCTGTGCACCCGTAGGCTCAACACCCCATGGAAGCTGCCAAGGCTTGGGGCTTGCACCCTCTGAAGCCATGGCCCGAGCTGTACCTTGGCCCCTTTTAGCCACAGCTAGAGTGACTAGGATGTAGGGCAGCAAGTCCCTAGGTGGCACACAGGAGAGGGGCCCTGGACTGGGCCAGGAAACCATTTTTGCCTCTGAGGCCTCTGACCCTGTGATGGGAGGGGCTGCTGCAAAGTTCTCTGACATGCCCTGGAGACATTTTCTGCTTTGTCTTGGTGATTAGCATTTGGCTCCTTGTTACTTATGCAAATTTCTGCAGCAGGCTTGAATTTATACCCAGAAAATGGGTTTTTCTTTCCCACTGCAATATCAGGCTGCAAATTTTTCAAATTTTTATGCTCTTCTTTCTCTTGAACACTTTGACACCTAGAAATTTCTTCTGCCAGATACCCTAAATCATCTCTTTCAATTTAAAAGTTTCACAGATCTCTAGGGCAGGGGCAAAATGCCAGTGGTGTCTTTGCTAAAGCATAACAAGAGTTACCTTTGCTCCAGTTCCCAACAAGCTCCTCCTCTCCATCTGAGACCACCTCGGCCTGGACCTTATGGTCCATAAAACTGTCAGTACTTTGATCAAAGCCATTCAACAAGTCTCAAGGAAGTTCCAAACATTCCCACATTTTCTTATCTTCTTCTGAGACTTCTGAACTGTTCCAAACTCTGCCCGTTACCCTGTTCCAAAGTCACTTCCACATTTTCTGGTATCTCTACAGCAGCATCCCACTTTACTGGTACCAATTTACTATATTAGTCTATTGTCAGGCTGCTAGTAAAGACACACCTGAGACTGGGTAATTAATACTGGGAAGAGGTTTAATTGACTCACAGTTCCACATGGCTGGGGAGGTCTCACAATCATGACAGAAGACAATGAGGAGCAAGTCATGTGTTACATGGGTGGCAGCAGGCAAAGAGACAGCTTGTGCAGGAATACTCCCATTTTTAAAACCATGAAATCTTTGAGACTTATTCACTACTATGAGGACAGTATAGGGGAAATGACCTCCATGATTCAATTATCTCCACCTGGCCCCCCCACTTGACACATGGGGATTATTACAATTCAAGATGAGATTTGGGTGGGGACACAGATCAACCATGTAAAGAGGAATTGGGGGTTGGAAAGAATTTTAAATATTCTCTCTCTCAACCATCCTGCCAACATTTGTTGGTGACATTTCCAGGTGATGCTGGGTCACCCAACTCTGCCTCTGGAAAGCTGATTTGAGATATGCCAGTCATACACACAGTAACAACAGAACAAGTTTTGAATCCTCTCTACCATGTGAAATAATGTGAAACATCGCACATACTGGGAAAGAAATGTGAAATAGATTATTCGACAAAGTACAACACTTCATTGTTGTAATCTTCATTGTTAAGTTACACTTTTAAATTGAACATTTCCATACATTTTCGTAGGCAACATTCAGTGAACAATTAAATTCAGTCTAATTAACTTTTGTACTTATTCAGAATAGAAAAATATAGGATAATAGAAAACAGAAGTAGAACTAGAAAAGAAGGGGTAATGTATACTTCAGGGGAAAAATTTGAAGAAAAATCATGGAATTTTGCATATATGCATACTAATATCTATGACGATGTTATTTTTAAGACATAGAAACAACATTTTTTTATCATGTCAAATAAATGTTTTTATCTTCCTTATTGCAATAACAACAATTTACATCATGAATCGTCAAGGAAAGGCTACATTTGGTAATACCACTCTTTAAAAAAAATCATTTTTCTATTTAGAGCAATGATCCGATTTGGAGAAAATGTAGGAAAAATATATCTCAGTGGAAAAACAAACTCTAGAGTCCAGTAACATTCTAAAAGTCCTGAGTTTCTATCAGTTTCAGTCTCCAAATTAGAAGTGATAGGCAATTCGTATAAATCTAAGTGATTTCCAAAGTGAATTTTAGAAATTATGTTTATTACAATTTTGTTTCTGCAGTTTCCTCATATGTGTCTTCTAAGCACTGATATTCTGATATCTCTTACACTGCTGCTGTTTCTGCTGCTGTGGCTGCTGCTTCTTTCTCTTCTTGTCCTTCAGAAAGAAGCCTTGGATTCTCTGAGTAGCAGTAGACTCCCTACAGGCATTTTCCAGATGTAACAGAGCATCAGTGTCTCTTTCTGCCTGCCAGGGCAGTGAATTCCCATGCCTCAAGAATCAATTTGATCTAAAAACATTTAAGTGGATTAAAATGCTTAGTCATTAAATGTAAGATTATTTCTTTACTAAGGACAAAGCCTATCCACAAGCTGCCACACATGGTTACTGTGGAGAGATCCTTGATACATCATTAGCCCTAGGCAGGCTAAAATCACACTGTTCTCTGAGGGCTTCACTCAAGTCCTGTAGCAGCCCTTACATGAAACCATTTGCTGTGCTGTTCTAAAGTGGTTTAATGATAGCATCCCCACTGATAATAGACACGGGGGGTCTTCTCTCCTTCCAAGCATTACCAATTCATGCATTATCTGCTGAGTTCACAGAAGGCAAGAAACTGCTTTTCTGGGATCTTTATCATTCTATATTTAAAATTATATATTATTTATAGTTCTGTTTATCCCAGATGAATGTGTGTGGCATTATCATCTATGCCTGAGTGTAGACAATAACCCACAAAAATAATCCCAAATAAATAGAGCTGTTGACAGGTAAATTATGGAAATAGTGAACAATGGACATTTTGGAACATCTTTAGCGCAGCAGTTTCTCACCACACATGATATTTATCTTGATTTTCAGTGTCAGATTGAAAATGTTTCATTCCTAGTAATTCGAATCATGACAACAAGTAAGGTTTGAAAAAGTAGTGGACTTTTTTCTGCTGAACCATGAAAGTTGAAAATCATAATGGAAACATTAAAAATAGAAAGAGATAAAGAAGAAAACAGGTATATTGCTACACAAAACATGGTTATAGAGATTTGTGAGAAGGCAATACATAAAAAACATTAAAAAAAAGTTCTGCTAAAAGAGTATTGAAACCCTATTCAGAAAAATATTTCAGTAATTTTTTTTATCTCTTAGTTCAGAAATATTTTGACTCCTAGATGAGGTGTTATTGCTATTGAGTTTCAGTAAAACATGGCCAAGGATCATGTTGAAATAGACAAAGAAGTGAAAGTTATTAACATAATAGATAACATTTGAGAGTCTACTTATGCAAGACACATGCTCAATATTTTATATTAACCTTTCATTCCATACTCACAACTGATAACTGATGTGAAGAAGAAACCAAAGTAAAGAGTTTATCTGACTTGTATAAAAGCAGATGCATTAACACATTTCATTGATAGAGTCAGGTTTTTAGCCTCAGATTCTGGGACCTCAACTTCTTATGAAATTTTGAGGGTTTTAGAGAAGAAATGATTTAAATTATGAACAACTGGTGGTTTCTTGCCAAATGCCCGATTTTGTTCCACATAAAAACACGGAGAAAGCCATGGCTTTAAAAATTACTGACAGGGGGCGGGGCCAAGATGGCCGACTCGGAAACAGCTCAGTTCTGAGGCTCTCAAGGAAAAGAACAATAATAAGCATGTGAATCCTTCACCAGCAACCAAGGTAACCAGGTTCTCCATCAGAACTGACTAGAAGGGTGGTATGATCCAGGGAGAGGAAGGAAGAGCAGTATGGTGCTGCAGCCCACCTGAGAGCCACACGGGGCAGGGGGGCCAGTTTCCACCTTTTCTGCCTCTGCCACTCCTGAGACACCAAGACCAACCCTTCTTTTCTTCAGCCTACTCAACATGAAGATGATGAACATAAAGATCTTTATAATGATCCACTTTTACATAATAGTAAATATGTTTTCTGTTCTTATTATTTTCTTAATATTTTCTTTTCTCTAGCTTGATTTGTTGTAAGAATACAGTATATAACACATATCAGAAATGAAATGTTTTAATTAATCCATTGTTTATGTTATCAGTAAGGCTTCCAATAAATAATAGACTATTAGTAGTTAAGATTTGGGGGAGTCAAAACTTATATGCAGATTTTTGACTGTGTGTGGGTCAGCATCCCTAACCCCTATGTTGTTCAAGGATCAACAGTATGTATAACAGTTTTCATAATTTTATGACATACTAGTCATCATGGTAATTCTTATTATCTGGTTTTAATCGTTGTATAGTGAAAGCTGTGTATCATTTATGAGAGAGAAAATGCTCATGGTTCTGCAGACTGTACAGGCATCTGAGAGAAGGAAGCTGCTTCAGTGTCTTAGTGCTGGTTTGACTGATCTAGTCCAAAACACATGCTGAAGGACTTTGTGCCTAAATAGGCACTACTTTTTTTATGTGTGTCCGT
Source organism: Homo sapiens (assembly GCF_000001405.40). Classification (NCBI taxonomy): domain Eukaryota; kingdom Metazoa; phylum Chordata; class Mammalia; order Primates; family Hominidae; genus Homo; species Homo sapiens. Next base: position 124,296,877 of record NC_000006.12, on the reverse strand, counting down.
GTGTGATGTACAACACTAAAGAAGCAGGCACATCAAGAAGCCCAGTAAAGGTTCTGGGTCTTAATTGAATGCTTTTATCCTAAACAATTCCTATTTCCTTGATTTTAATTGCTCCTAATATCTCTGGGAAAATTTGAAATTAATTTAAAACTACTTCACTGCCCCATAACTTATCCACAGATCACACTTGAAAACATGGAAATAATAGGAATTTTGATGTGGTTCCTTGTATGGAGTCTATGTTCTTTTATCTTTCAAGAATGTTTTGTACACCATTCTCCAACATCTATAATCTGGTTTTCAATGCAATCTTTAAGTATATAAGTTTTACATACCTCATTTTATGAAATTATTGCATGTTTCAAAAGAATATCTGAACTCATAAACATTCTTGTAAATGAAATTATAATGATTTCTGCTTGGACATTTATTTGCATATACCTAGCTACATAAAATGATAAGATGGGGAAAATATTAGAAGCAGTTATGTAAAATAATTTCCATAACTATCGAATAAGGTCATCAAAGATGTTTTGAAATAAAACATAACTGAGAATTTTTTCCTCTAGCAACTCCATTTAGGCCATCATTTCTTGCTTTATAAACCTCAATTTTATACTTTTATTCTGTACATATCCTATTATAACTCAAAGCAAACTAGCATAGAAAAACTGTGTTCATTATACTCTAATATACAAGGAGAAGTGAAAGCTGAGTAGAGGCTTAACCATGAAGAAATTTGCATCCAAGGTGGTGAATGTGAAAGAGAATGCAATTGTGGAGGAATTATACATTATTTAAAGAAAAGAGAAGAGTTACAATTTTTTAAATTTATAATTTTAAAAATAGAATTATGCTGTTCTTTATACATAAACAGTGATGTTATTCATTGAGATAGTCTTTTTTACTATAATGAAGGATGTAGCAATGGTTACAAGAAAAAAGGTATCACCAGATTGACAAATTGGCATATGTTCCCTGAAGTCTCATTTATTTTTAGTATTTTATGGAGAAGAGTAAAGGGGAGTTCAGATTGGGAAGTTGAGTTGGTTAAAAGAAATACAATTTTTGAAAACATTTCCAGGAGCATTATAGATGTTTTAGTTCAGAAAACAATTATATTGTGCCCTGAGAATTGTTTTGATATCCGATATCTGAAAGAAATGTTCTGTCTGGCTTATTGAAATCCATTCACTTTCAACCCTAATGCATCAATAGTAGTAGGGCATAGCAGAGATTACAAATGATACTAATTTCTCCTTAAATAAAATTAGGATTTTGCAAACTGGCTTATGTTTTTTAATCTCCTTCCTAATCGGTGAGTTTCTTCTCCTCACAGCAGCCAGTGTCAGCATTTATTCTATATGATATAAATAAGCAATAATAAAAAGCAGGTTCAAGCCATTATTCTAGACTAACCTGCAGCTATGGGGCTGTTTGTCTTAGTTTTACTAAATTGTCAGCTAAACAACACTATGCTACAAACCTCTCAACGTGTTCACAGAGCTTCTCATGCCTTTGACTAAATTTATTGCATTAAAAGAAGAAAAATAGAATGATAATAGTAAGAAGAAGAAAAGAACAAGGAGAAGGAAAACGACACAAAGGTTTTAGAAGATAGAATGAAAACTATGCCAAATTATAGTTTTGCTCCATGATAAATTCTTAGGTACAAACTACTCTGAAAATGTAACTTTAAGTGTAAATGTAAGCACAGAAACTCCCCATCAAACACTAACCTTTCAAAACAAGAAGAGAATTAAAATAAGACATCTCATAATTCCAATTTTACTGTACTATAATATGGTAGTCGCTTCACTTCCAAGGGAAATCTTTGTGTACACACATATTAAATTTTAAGTGCATGACACTCCCATAAAAATGAATTGTAGATAAAATGAGCTTAATACTTGCAGCCAAACATTTCTTTTACAAAATTCCATAAACATAACTGGTATCTTTAAAAGAAAAAAATATGAAGAAAAAAATGGATTCCGCTGTGTTTCAGAAAATGACAGGTCTAGTCAAACAGAAGTTTAGCTGTGGGGTGTAGATAACATCTTACTGGGCATGGAGTTCCCAGATGAGTCAACATTTCCAAAAACCACTGACAAGACATCTACAAATACAACACAGAGATGACCAGGAAAATGACAACTATTTCCTTAAAGAGTCAGCTGGGCAATCACAAAGCATCTGGCAAATAAAACAATTCATAAAACCTCTGAAGGGTCAGCTTCAGAGTATTGCTTATATACTTGCAAGGAAAGATTTATTTGGAAATAAATACTATAAAGAATATTATACAAAAGGGGTTTTGTAGTAATTACAGCTACCAAAGACTTTCTTTATGCAGTGTCAGTTTTGCTGGTGTGGTCAATGAAAGTCTTTAATCAATTTCAGAATTAACATGAAGCTGAAACCCTTTTGCAGTCAAAACCTTTAAAAATAATTGTTTATAATTATTATTTGACAAACAGACTGTGTGCTATGAATGGATATTGGTAGGTTGGGTCTATCCAAGGTGATTAGGTCATTGAGAGGGATCAATGCTGCTCTTACGGAACTGGGTTAATTCTCAAGGGAATAAGTAAGTTCTCACTCGCTGGGTACTGGATGAGTTACTACTAGAGCAGATTGTTATAAAGTGAGGCTGCCCCTCCTATTTTGCTCCTCTCACATGCTCCCAGTTCCCCTTCTACTTCTCCGCCATTTATGACACAGAACTGGGTTCTCACCAGTAGCTAACCAGACACAGCCACCCTATCATGGACTTCCCAGCCTCTAGTACGTTGAGCTAAAATAAACATTTTTTAAAATAAATAAATAAGCAAATCATCCAATCTCAGGTAGTGTGCTATAGCAACACAAAAAAGACTAAGACATTATACTAAGAAACTCTAAACTAAAAACAATTCATTGATTCACATTATCAGTTTGCTACACTCATTGCCATAAAAATTAGCAAATATCCTGGAAATGGTGCCTACTTGCCTCTTCCCATTATCTTGGAATGAGAGAAAATAGAAAAAAGCAGAAATGAGGTGTTTTGATATTATCTGTCGTCACTTTTCTCTTACGAGATATTAATACATGAAATGAGCAAAAAAGGGTATGCAGAAAAAAGACCAACCCAGTAATATCAAAGAAATTCTAAAAAGAGCAATAGAATTTGAAATAAAACTATGACAATAACATGAAACAAATGCTCTAGAAAATATATGCTCTGATGAAATTTATATCACCAAAATCATTCAAGAAGTGGAAAATTTGAAAAGATCAATTATTGTAGAAAAGATTGGAAAGATAATTAGATAGCTACCATTCATGAAAGTATCAGGACTAGATGGTTTCATAGATTAGTTCTAAGAACATTTGTAGTTCCAATCCTATTTGAATTATTCTATACCACAGAAAAAAGTTTCCCCAATTTATTTTCTTAAGGCCGCATAATTTTAAAAATATTACAAGTAAAAAGCTATAAATTAATTGCATTTTTAATAAGGATGCAAAAAAGTAATTAAAAATAGTAAAAGTTGAATATAGCAATCAAAAAAAAGAATAACATATTACAAACAAATAAGGTATAGTCTAGTAATGGAAAGTTAAATTAATATCAGAACACTTATTAATCTAATTCAATGCATCCAAAAATTTTAAAGAGATATTAGCATACAGCTTCAAAGATATGTAATAAAATATTATTAGCTATTCTTAATAATTGAAGGAAACTACTTAAATATAGTAAAGACCATTTACTGAATACTAATAGCTATAACACAGTAAGCAGACTGCTAAAAAGTCTTCTCATTTAAATTCAGGAAGTTGACTGAGATTTTTGCTATTGCCATTAGATCAACCTAATGCACAAGGAAAGTATCACTAGTTTCAGGATTGAGACAAGGGGTAGATTGTTTTTCTTGTGCACCTATTTAAAGCAATACTTTCAACTAAATCTTCCTAATAAATAAATAAGTGTCATGAGTGTGTTTCTTATAAAATCAGTCAATGTAGTTTAATAACATTAATAAAATACATTACAGTAGTAAAAAAATAAATTAAAACACACTGCCAACATTAAACTGACACAGTATAGGGATGAGAGTCTGCCTAGGATACATTAGGGTCTGGCAGAATGCATGAACCTCTTATCTTGTAAGCAATTCTCCATAAATATCATTTTTCTTAATTGAACTTTTGATAAGTATCAATGTATCAATGTAAAAGGCCTTTAAACCAGAGCAAATCCATCTTGAACAGGAGCTGGGTAAAATGAGGCTGAAACCTATGGGGTTGCCTTCCCCATAGAGTCTCACTCTGTCTCAAAAAAAAAAAAAAGTCATCTGCTCAGCTCTCATTGTTAAAAAGGAAATTACACCAAAGTAAAACATACTTAATGCAATCTAATAGTTATTGTTACACTTTTGGTTCAAAAAGGCAAACTGAGCATACAACAAATATAGTCCTACAACTATTAGTAATAAAACATTAGCAACAAAGAGATTTCAACCAATTGCCTGAAGAGGAAGACAAAGAGATGGATATTGATTAATAAGCAGAATGAAGCAATTGCCAGTCTATAATATGTATGGAGGAGAAAGAGACAAAAAAATGCTGGACTGCTAGGGAGAATTTTGCATGCTCTGGAGACTTGGGTAAGAAACATATGACCAAAGGTCAGTGTGTAAAGTGGGCTGGAAAACAGCAATAACCCTCTACCACTTTTAGAATCAGCCAGGAGTTTATTTCTCTGGGGAAAACAAGGAGATTTTTCATAAATAAATTAAAAACTATAATATAAAATAACTGTTAAATGAAATTACCTGGGGATAGCATAGCAAAGGCAAATGTTGAAAAGCATCAAGAATCATCAAAATGATGCATGCAAATTCCAGAATTGAAGGTGTAGGGAGGTTCAAACTTTCCCTCTGAAGGTTTGACAACTGAGTCTGCTGAAATAAACTGACAATAGATAAACAGGAGACAAGGCATACTCATTATTTAAGCTCATGAGACTCACAGAAAATATAAAACTCAAAGGAGGAGCCAGATGGTTGAGTTTTTATACCATAAAGGAATAGGGGCTTGAGGGCTTTCAGGGGAGGTGGAGAAAAGTTAAGGGAGAGAAAAAAGGAAGAACCACAAGATGAACAAAGGTTGTCGTATTATGCAGATAAAGCTTCTCAGAGCAGCCTCCAGAAGAATAAGTGATAGGCTGTCTGGGTATGCGGATGACATTTAATCTCCTCTCCAGTGATTAATCTTCCCTGGCTGCTTGATGAGATTCCTGCGGAGGGGTTTCAAGACAATTGCATTTCTTTTGGAAGAACTTACCTCAGTTAGACAAGTGAACTTCAGAGAAAGGGACTCCTGGTGCTTTGGGAAAGAGAGGATCTAGAGACAGAGGATGAAGGAAGGTCAGAGAGACCTTGAGGCTACTCTTTTCATTCAAAATTGCCATACATTGAATATGATTTTCTGAGCCACAACAAAGTCTTCTATAAGTGTTTAAATAATAAAAAAAAGACTACACAATTTTTAAATAGGTTCACATTTAGACACGCCATTTTGAAATGCCAAAACAATAATAAAATGAATATCTCAAGCAGTTCTTTGAAAGTTATTTACAGATTGATATCAGACTGGCCATCAGTAACACTGCTTCTTAGATTGTGAACAATTACTTCAGTGTTCTAAGAAAAAAATGATTTTCAACCCTGAATTCTGCACCTGGCCAAACTAGTACTCAAGTGTAAAGGTAGAATAAAGTCATTCTCTGTCATGAGACAGATAAAACTCAGAAAGTTTCTCTCACAAACATGCTTTTCAGGAAGTTGTTTGTAGAATATCAAAGAGATAATAGATGGAATTTAAGAAAGCATGAATCAAATCAGAAGAAGGGAGAGATAGATGTATAATAGGGCTTGAGAACAAACAGTTGACATCGGAGTAAAATGACAAGAGTACTAAGAGAAATCTCCAGGGAAGAAGAACATTGCATTAAAAACAAAAAGCTACAGATAGTGATGGTCAAATATAAACGGACTGGATAATTCAAATAGTAAAGCAGTGGATTTCAAGAATTAAAACAGAATGAATATCAAGCAATAGAATGCACATGAATTGGAAATGTATTTAGGATACACTTAAGCAAGGCCTGTTTTGTTTCTTACAAAAAAAAAAAAAGCAATCAGAAACTTCAGAGGGGAAAGAAAACCTGTAAAAACAACGTATAATTCAAAAACAAATTAGACCAAATGATTTGGGGCAGGTCGTTATTAGACACTGTCTAAAGCTGAAAAATCAACAATTAGCAACACAGACGCACACACACACACACACACACACACACACACACACACACACATTTCTGAGGTAACCCCAGAAGAACTATAAAGAGATGAGGAACAGCTGGAGAAGAGTATGGAAAGGAAGTTTTATTTTATTATAAGCCCAATTTTACTTTTTGATTAAAAAAACTACATAATCTGATTTTTTTATTTTAGAAAAAGAAACTAATACTTAAACATATCACAATATATCTTTTCTTCAAAATTCATTTTCAAAAATTATTAGATGATTTAAAAAAGTGAATCTAGACTGTCAAATGTAATTATTTATATGTACCACATCCTATAAATCTTTAGTCATAGTCTAACACCAAAATGAGGGCACAAAGTATCTTCTTGTAGAATAAATGGTCCACATTTCCCCAAGGGAACACATTCTTTTGAGAATAAATTGCATTTGCAATGTTGCATTATTACATTTATTTTAGGACTACAGGCTAAATCCATTAAACTTGTAATGATGTTTTTTTTTGTTTTCTCCCTCCCTTCCAGGCTTATGGGAAAAGACTTATTTTCACAACTACTCTAAAGTCATTAGAAGTATTGTTAATTTACTAGTATCTCAAGTCTCTTCATCTCTAATCTACATTGATTTTCTGTCCTCAACACAGAAAGCATGCATTTGTTAATGCTTTAGCTGCAATAAGTTTCCTTTCAGATATTTTTTTCTCCTAGAAAAATTGAATAAAGGTGGCAAAACAACTACTTGAACATAGATTAATGACTTCTTAGAAATGACTTGTAGGAGTGCAAAAATTTTTAGGGAGGTAACATTTATTAGTTTTAGAAAAACATATGACCTGGAAAATGGAGACAGTGCTCCTGATTTATTGTTGTTGGTGATAGTCTCTATGGAGACCTGAGCTCCATGGACAATTAAAAATCAAATCACGGCAATTATCAGCAAATAGTAAATTCTAGAAATTTAGAGGATTTTTCCCCCATGCAAATTGAGTATGCGATTCTTTACTTATACAGAACCACTAAGGTGTCTATAGATTTCTCAAGTTGCTGTGTCGTAATCTTTTTACAAAATGAATCCTGTCTTTGTCTCTGGTGCTCCAGTCACCCTGTGGCCCCATGCTTTGGCCAGGATGCCATGGGGATCCTTTACCATGTTGGCTCTAGAAAAAGCAAAGTTAAGGAAGTCAAAGCAGGTGACACTTTGTCTGAAGCTGACCTTGCCTCACTGGGGAGAAGGAGGATGTACATCAATCTAGAAACCAACAGCCACCAACTACCATATGTATCACGTTAAAAAAAATGTAGTAAAACAAAAAGTGGCCTAAATTGGTGAACAGAAGTTCAGTGTTCAGCATTAATCAGAAAATACCATTCAAAACTTTAAAATGCAGACTAAAAGAAATATTTACTTTTTTATTATTTTGGAAGAGTAAGCAGGGTTATTATGACAGTCTTAGAGTTTACAATTCTTAGAACACAAGAAATGAAGATTCATGTGTATTGGCTTCTCTTTCTAACCATCATTTGATGACTTGCTTCATCAAATCAGCTTTAAACACATTAATTTCATCTCTTGCTTTTTCAGTAACAAAACAGGAAACCAATCCCAATATTTCTCCTTCATTTGATTTTAGAATTAGTTATTGTAGTCTAACTTGGTGTCATAGAAAGATTCTTCATTAGGCATAATGATATGTATGTATGTATGTCTATATTGGTGTTTCCTAGGTCTTTTGTATTTCCAATATGTTTTGAGTATTTTATTCAATTACATAGAAATAAATTCTCCCATCAATTATTTGAAACTCTTTACAAATAGCAAATGTAGAAATAGATCATTTGTCCTTATTTAACATATAATTATAATGGATATTAGATATAACTTATATTGTATAGATGAATGTGTACATATGCATATATGTAAAATCACCATCAAAAAGCTGGGTGCTATAGAAAAAGAATAACATGCCATTCTAATTCACTGTTACTAGAGATTAAAGATAGTTTGTGTTATTGTTTTCCCGCATGAATAAAATATCCATCACTAAGAGTTTTCTGTTCTAAACTCTTGAAACATGAGGTTATTTCTCCATTAACTAAGGAGTTAAAAACATAATCCTTGATATGGGAGAGGCAGACCACAACTTAAAATCTAAATCCTCTGGAAATCACAAATGCTGTAATGAATTTTAAATTTGCCCACAACTTAACAGCACCTTTGTTCATTTATCAGACAGATTTGGGTCTCTGAACTGTGCCTCTAAGAGGCAGTTCACTGTGGTGGTTACAAGGACAGACTGGTTGTCAGGAGAACCTGTGTCAACCTCCTAACTCTACTATTTCCTTTCCATATGAGTTTGAACAAAAGTTGTGTCAAGTTAATGTGAGGGTTATAGAATTTATGAAGAAAGGTAGATATACAGGAGAATCAGTGATGGAATTGGTAAGAAACAAGAAATTATTCTTACAAATATTACTGTTATTTTAGTATACTATCCTCTATAAAATCTGAGTAATAGATTTTCAGCTATTTTGAAACTTTTTTTTTCTAGTTTGGAGACTGAGTTTGGAAGAAAGGAAAGAAGGAAGGAAGAAAGGGAGAGGGGGGGAGAAATAATTTATTTTTGGCATGTTACACAGCAACATTTGTTTTTGGCAATATCACTGAGAAAGTTGCTATGGCTTTAATGGATAGGAACCTACATATTCCTCAGATTATTTTAGATAATCTAAAGCAGCTCCTTAGCGCCAGTGCAGCTCCTTAACATTATTTTATCATTAACTTATAAACACTGGATATCTCAGATCACATTCTACTTCCCCAAATGATGATGCATTATATAATTCCATTTATGATGTAAAATAATGCTTTCCTGGGAGCCATTGTATATATTTATTTATGAATTATTTTCTGGGATTTGATGTGATTGAGATACAAGATTGATTCTTTCTATGAATTCTGGCTTCAGGTTTCCTTTGCTTGGACCTGAAAACATCTATTTCATTTTCCTTCAGCATACTATATTCTGCAAAGTGACAGAAGCTCTCTATGGCACTAATGAGTTCTTGTTCCAATTATCTGTTTTAAGTTTTTAATCTTTTTTTCTTTGCTACTATGAAAAAGAAGATGAATGAAGAAAACAAAAATCATTACCAATACTCTCATTTATTTGTTGCTACAAGCTCAATGGTTTGAAGAATGTCCACATACTTTTTTGTGTGGGAGGCAAGATCAATTAAATAAAATGTCCCATCAATAATTTGAAGCTCTTCAAATATAGCAAATGCCCTCAGTCTCAATATCAGAAAACCTGCCTTTTTGTTTTGGTAAAATTAGACATAAGGATAATGAAGACTTATCTTTTTCAAAATGGTATTTGAATTTCATAATCTTAAAAGCAGCAGAAAATATCACAAGTTGAAAGAGAGTTAACTGTAATAAGATAGACATACTAAGTATCAAAAGGAAGCTTTATGATGTTTTAAAGGTAAATGTCTTTATTAAATTATCTACATAAATTAAGATAAACACTAAGACTGCAGGGTAAAAAATTAGCAAAGAAGACCAAAAGACAAATCCCTGGCCGGGCACAATGGCTTACACCTGTAATCTCAGCACTTTGGGAGGCCAAGGTGGGCGGATCATGAGGTCAGGAGTTCGAGACCAGCCTGGCTAACATGGTGAAACCTCGTCTCTACTGAAAAAATACAAAAATGAGCCGGGCATGATGGCACACGCCTGTAGTCCCAGCTACTTGGGAGGCTGAGGCAGGAGAATTGCTTGAACCTGGGAGGTGGAGTTTGCAGTGAGCGGAGACCGTACCATTGCACTCCAGCCTGGGCAGCAAGAACGAAACTTATCTCACACACACACACACACACGCGCGCGCACACACACACACACACACACACACACACACAATTTTCCAAACAGAAAACAAAAATGGGTAATGAACATACGAAAAATTCTAACTCACTACGATTAGAAATACAATTAAAAATGAAAATAACATTTTTTCTTCTATCAAATTAACAACTATGAGAACAGATAATACACAGGGTTAGCAAGAGTGCAGTGAAATCAACTCTGCTGTACACTGGTAAGAGGATAATTCAGTAAAATAATTTTGGATAGGTTATTATTAATTATATAGTAAAAGCCTTAAAATTGTTCATATTATTTGATTATACCTAGGTATTTCTCCTAAGGAATGATTCACAAAAAAAGACGAGAGTATTTTTGTTGGAAATGATTATAGGGAATTATTTAATATAATAGAAAAATATGAAAATAGCATAATGTATAACATTAAAGGCTTAAAGAAACAATGAAATAGTCATGTTAATTTTTAAATTGTTTGATATAATGTTCAATTTAAAATTAAGACATACTTGGATATATAGCATACACAGACATGTTTCATTTGTATGTACACAAAGGAAATACGCAAAATGTTAATCTTCAGTCATGAAGTCGAGAAATGCTTTCTTATTTTTGTATCAAATTATTTTATATTTTATGTCAAGCTATTTTATAATGTAAAAATATTACAGAGAAAATATGGCAAATATAAAAATTATAAAGGTCTACATTGCTAGAGGATGAAGACCTTTACAATGATCCTTTTCCATTTAATCAATAATAAATATATTTTCCTTATGATTTCCTTTAATAACATTTTCTTTTCTTTAGCTTGCACTATTGCAAGAATACAGCATATAACACATAAAACATATTAAATATGTGTTAATCAACTGTTTATCAGTAAGGTTTTCAACCAATAGTAGGCTATTGGAGTTAAGTTTTTGAGGAGTAGAAAGTTATAAGCAGATTTTTGGCTGTGTGGGGGGTTTGGTGCCCTTAATCCTCACACTGTTCAAGGGTCAACTGTAGTTTGTTGCACAGAAGTTACACAGACATAGATACCTGAACAGATATTGGTACCAGAAAGTCAGTGATACTTAAACCTAAAACACACAGTACTGGTTTTGAGATAAGGAGGCAAATGACACCAGGAGGGCAGCAAGGAGACTCTGAGTGGAGAGAGGAAATTGTTTTTGAGGACTGGAGAAAAGAAGACTCATGGAATTTACTGCCAGAACAATTATCTTAGCTATTGTCTTCAATAACTGGAAAGATAGAAAATATGCCTATGAGTTTATGGGTCTGGTTAAGGGGATTTCCAAGCAAAAAAAAGATGACAGTGCTATTTGTTATCTTTTAGCCACAGACAGCATGATATTGTAAGAGAGAAATGAGCTAAAGAAAGATTTTCAAGCAGAATTTAGAGGATATATTTCTAACCCAGGACTTGCTGAGTTGGAAAAAAAAGTTTATCATTTACATCATCTCCAGCCGGCAAAAGATTTCCAAAGACATTGTCTCAGGGAAAAATCCAAATGCACAGTGATGTTACCAGTCAAGATGAAATCAAGGCTCTGAAATTCATTGTTAAGACCTTAAAAAGAGTTCAGGTTGTGTCTAATAGCCTCAGAAAACAAAACTTCTAACAATGTTAAAGGTGTTTTCCCTTGGCATCATAACTCTTATCCCATGCCAGAGAAAGTAGCCAGTAGTGAAAGATCTGTGGTACGTCTTTATTCAAAAGGATGAGATAATAATTTGATACATAGAAAGCCCAAATTTTTTTTTTTTGCATTGTAGCATCTTAGGATAAAAGGGACAGAAATAGTTCATCCAACATCTAGAACACCTTGCTCTATTTTAAATTTCCTTTCAGCCTATTGCTATGTTACACAGGTTAGTATTATTTTTAAATAATAATAATTAAAAACAAAAATATTATAGCTAATATTTATTGGGGGCTTTTTAAATATCAAGCACGGTGCTAGGGACTTTTCATAGAACATCCCCTTTAGTCCTCAAAATTAACCTCTGAGTTTTTAAATAGTTCAAATATTTTGGGTCACATCTAGATTTTATCCCAAGAACTTTATCAGAAATAAAGATGAAATATTTACATAATGATATTCAGAGCAACCATTATTTATAAGAATAAAACCATGAAGGAACCTCAAAGTCTAATAAAAAAAGAATGGTAAGTTAAATTTTTTTCATATAATGGCTAATATATATCAATTAATTAAATCATTATGAGTTAATGTAATGACTACTTTCATTTTAAAGATAAGAAAATTAAAGATTGGTGAGGTGAAGTTATCTAAAGTCACACAGAATTTGGCAGATCGAAGATTCCAATCTTGATATTATGACTTCAGAGGACTCACTCTCAACCACTGTACAACCCGCCCTACACTGTATCAAATTACGATTCATAAAAGAAAATGGACAATACTATCATATCTTGTGCATTAAAAAACTTCACCCTGCAACAGAACTCCTCCCACTTTTACAAGATTTAGATGGCTACCTAGCCTCTGCAGTGACATGCACTGGAGGCTGGGCATGCACCTGGAGGCGAGGACTGTGGGCTTCTCATTCTTCCTTGGTTCCAGCCACCACCACATTGCCTGGCTGTACCAATGAGCTTTATCTGGGTTCTAGATGATGGAGAGAACAGGTCATGGGGGGGCATCTTTAATGAGGACGCTTTCATAAAACATGAGAAGGGCTGCTGGTTTGTGTTGAACAAGGCAGAGCTTTCACGGTACTATCTTATATACATGCTTTTACTACAAACCTGCTTTACAATTTTAAATAAATGCCTATAGACATTTCCTTTGTCAAAAATAGAAGAAATAGAAAAAATGATGAAACTAAAAAGAAAAAAATGTACATTAATGAAGAGCAGTAGCTGAGATCTGAGGCACATACAAAAGTTTAAAAAAAAGCAACCCTGAGTTATGGTTCCCATAGTAACTGAAACACAGTTGGATTTCACTTTTATGTTAAGTAAGTTTAACTTGAGTGGGAATGCAAAATACTTCCTTCAAGCCAAAAAGAGAATTATGGAGAACACAGAGGCAACTGTCCAGATTATTCTGGCTTTCTCATACGCCAAATATTAGCCCTAATGTGGTTAATATTTTCACATCAATAGTATATGTTCATTCCTATTGATTTTAAACTCTTTATTCAATGTATAAAATATGATTATTTAAAATGAGAAAAAATTTCCATTAAAATCTGTCAAACCAGAAAGCATGACTTTATAATGTAGAAACATAGAAACACAGTTTGGCTTGTAATTATGAGACTATTCGCTGAAAGTACAAATTATGAGAATTCAGTCTGATCACACTCACTATCAAGTGCCTTAAACCTGACATTTTCAATTACTGTTGATGGAATCTGAAACTATGAAAATAAACACATGGTACTTAAAAGAGAGTATCCACATCTTTAAGATAGATTATACACATAAGTTTTCAAGGCATTTGGAGTTTGCACATCATTCTCTAGTTCAATAAGATTTTTAAAAGGCAGAAAATGTACTTACTCCTGTTATGTAACGAGGTCTATATTGAATAGTTCCAAACAAACCAAGAATGACGATAATAATATGTACAAAATTTGCCAGGATAGGTGCCCACTGATATCCAAGGAAGTCAAATATTTGCCTCTCCAGCACACAAACCTAGAATAGCAAAACAGGATGGACAGATCAGCATGTGAGAAACAGCACAGTGGTGAGAGGAAAAAAGGATAAAATTATTAATAACATAATTAGCACTTATAACTGTGTTACCATATCTGGCATTTGTCTTTAACTAACAGCGAGAATGACATTTTCAGTTATTTCAAAGGAACACTATGGAATCTGTGGATCTATAGACACCTACAAGCCTTTCAGGGATGATTTTGTGGAGGAATCAAGCAGTATTCACAAGATGTCATCTTTGCAGTCATAGGATAAATTATATTGTCATGTGCACTGTCAAACATTTGAAGTCATCAACCAGCAAGTCAGGGAAGTCCACATAAAGAGTTTGTTGCTAGATCTGTTCAAACGTCATTATATAAGTTGAGAATAGAACAAAGGAAGTTTGATGTGGAGGAAAAAGAAATCTTTAGCAAGAGTTGTAGCAAGAACCCTTTAGCAAGACAAAGATTTCTGAACGTGAGTCTGCCACTAAGTAGCCGCAGTGGCCTACGCAAGTCATTTCCCTTCTCTGGGTGCTGGCCCTCGTCTGTGAAATGAAGGACTTTGACGAGGTGTGTAGGGTCCTTCTAGTTCTAATAGTGTTGTATTATAGATCAAATATGATGTTTTGTCATACCTGGCTACCAGGTAAAAGAAGGGCCCTAAAAGAAAATTAGAACAATGGAAAACAAACACAAAAATCAAGCATCACTGTTATAAAAGCAAGACACTTAAGTCGATTTAAATTATACTATTTTCATCTGTGTTCACAACTATAATTAAGACATATAAAAATCTAAGCAGTGAGAGGAGAAAAACAAAACCAACCAACTAACCAAAAATAACAACAAACTGAGATTAGTGGGTAGTCCGGAAGTACCATTTTACATCCCAAAGTGAGATCTAGGAAGCTAGCAAGATCTCATCAGATCCAACAAAGTAAAGCAGAATGTTGGCTTTATTCTTCCTGCCTGCCCTCAGGGGGGATGATAATAAACTCTCTGTTCAGAGAAAAACATTGTAAAAGGACTTGATGCTCCATACCAAGATTCAATATTTTATTCAGCCAGGTTTTCAAGGAAAATGATGATTTTAAAATCCCTAAGTTCCTAACATCACTATGCTTTAATGATATTTCTTTTCAGAAGGAAATACTGACTCTCAAAACAGGCAATGTGCTTTTAAATTAAATATCTGTAGCTCAGTTTGAAGACATCTTGAATGATCATTATTCCTACTGCAGTTCTTTAGCTGAGTAGCACGTTTTCCCATCAGGCATTGAAAGAGAAAATAAATTCATGACACCTCTATTTTCTAAGGCACACTGGGCACCATGTAATGGTTGTAGCAGTCACAGTCCAACTTAGTCAAATCGTAATTCTCATTGCATCTTCGCCATAATTAAAAAAACAAAAGAACCTTGATTTGTTATACCCTGTGCTAAAGCCATGATACTCATCAGAGTCTCAATAGTGGAATGCAATATTCTTACTCCTTAATAAACACAGACTGTCATAGGACTGGAATATCACTTAAGCTTTATAAACCTGAATTGTCTTCTGATGAGCCATTCCTTCAACTTTCTCATATAGTTAACGTTTTGTAGAAATGAGACCCATTTGTGACATTAGGCAGTATTACATATGCGAAGTTAGAATCTGTGAATGGTATCAAAAACTAAGTAGTTGTTCTGAGAACATGATTGCTAATTTTCTGTGTAAAAGTTCATTTCAACATAGAACCCTCTCCGCCTTATTTTATGAATAAATAGTGAATAGGAATGTAAACCAACAGCAAGAAACATCTAAACTCTATAAATTTGGAGCATCATAACTGTGGGGACACAGCAGGGCAAACGTATAGAGGATGAAACACATCAGTCTAACAGTGGGAAATATCTCAATAAATGCACCAATTATGAAAGAAAATAGCAGTCCTATTAATTATAAAAAATATAGAGATGATAATGTAATAACTAAGTCTGTAAAACTGAAGTGAAATTATGTCAACATTTATTGGGTTCTTGTTATGGCACAACCAATTGTTTCTTACTTACAAGTTTGTGCAGACTGAACAAGCTAATCTGTAATTCTTTGCATATAATATTTCTGCCTTTTTCCCCTTTTTGATTAGCCCTATTAGGGATCATAAGTAGCATTATCATATGTTCTGTAATTTAAGATAGGCCTGAAAAATGCAAGATTGTCTGAAAAGTTCAGTAAGTGTAAGGGTTATAATATGTGTAGGAGTAGCTGCAGTCTTTCCTATGAATTCCTTCCCACAGGAAGACTATTAACTATGAGGGGCCTGTATAGTGGACCTGGGAGTGCAGGGATGGAGAGAGCACATATTTGTTAGAACACCTACTGTATGCTGGGGCTTTATGCTTTTCTCCAGGCATGTATTATCACATTGATTCTACACAAAACCAAGGGAGGTAAATAGGATTGTCCCATTTTGCAGATTAAGGAATCCAAGCTGTGGTGTGCTAAGTGATTATCTTGAAGTTACAGAAGAGGTAAGTAGTAGAACAGGAATTTGGGCTTCTGTGCATGGCCCCTTTGCTATGCCCTTACCTTTTCTATTTACTCCACACTTAGTCCAAAAACAAATAGATTTTGTTTTTGTTGGTTATATAGTAGAGACCATGCTGATTATATAATATATGCTACTTCATAGAATCTCTCTGATCATACTTGTCAGTTCATGACATTATATCATCATTGGTTAAGACAAAGCTCCTTTTTTGTTTAGTTTAGGTTAGTTTTTCCCTCTTTTAACCCATCTCAGTGTTAATCTGATTTTGCCCATGGGGACCTCTTTAATGTATTTACTTTTGGTCCTTGTAATCATCTGACATAGAAATGTATGTATTTGGCCTAGCAAAATACATGCTGCTGTTTATGTGTTATTTTCACATAAGAAGTCTTATGGTGTACATCCCTTTCATGCTTGCCTATTTTCCTGTATATAAATTTTGGTTCCTTGTGTTTGGCTTGCACAGATCACAACATTATTAACGCATAATTTGGTTGCTTTCAATTCTTTGCTACCACAAAGAATTATCTTCCCTTCCATTACTATCTTTATGAAGTTTTTATTTGTAACATCAATAGTGACTAATCTTTATCAGTTATTATTTCTGCATCTATTGAGATAATCACATTATTTTTTTTCTTTTATACAATGAATGTGATGGATTAGATTGAGTATTCGATCAATATCCTTTTGTCATTATCCTTTTATATCTAGTAAAATCCCTACTTGGGATGGCATATCATTTTTAGCACATTTTTAGTTTGGATTAAATTTTACTTATAAAATTTAAACAAAATAAAATTTTATTTGGGATTTTTGTATCTATAAACTGACCTACAGTTCAATTTCTTTTTCTCTCTTTTTCTGACACTGTTATAAAGGTTACACTGGCCTCAAACCATAAGTAAGACACAAATTTTATTTACAACTCTTTTTTTTTTTTTTTTTTTGAGATGGAATCTTGCTTTGTTGTCCAGGCTGGATGGAGTGCAGTGGTGTGATCTCGGCTCACTGCAAGCTCTGCCTCCCAGGTTCACGCCATTCTCCTGCCTCAGCCTCCCAAGTAGCTGGGACTACAGGTGCCCGCCACCACACCTGGCTAATTTTTTGTCTTTTTAGTAGAGACGGGGTTTCACCGTGTTAGCCAGGATGGTCTCGATTTCCTGACCTCATGATCGGCCCACGTCGGCCTCCCAAAGTGCTGAGAGTACAGGTGTGAGCCACTGCACCTGGCCAAAACTCTTAATAAACGTAGAGAAAACCATCCAGTCACATTAACTTTCCCCAAAGGCAATTTGTGTGAATTTGGGGAGCTACTGCTAACTGCATAGCTGTTCAGTAAAATATTGTATGTAGATGGAGCATATAGGCATATATCTGTCATGTATGTGTAAAAATTTTTCAAATTATTTTTATTTACAAAATGGATTGCAATGTAGTTGTGTGTTTTCACCTTGTGTTTCTCACTTAGTGATGTGTCATGAGGTTTTTATACATTAGCACATGCTGCATTAATAGATCTACCTCATTATATCCTTATTAAGGCATTGCATTTTAATAAATCTTTAATTCATTTCCAGTTTTTGGCTATAACATCCATAAGTGCATTATAGAATCTTCTGTATGTGTGTTAATATAGCCATAGGACAAACTCCCCAAAATAGAAATGTTGGGTCAATTCTGGTTGCTAAATCCCAAATATTATATAACAGGTTTTATTAATTCTTTGTGCTATATATATATTTCATGTTTTCCAGCTCATATAATAGCATATATATATATATATATATATATATATATATATATATATGAGCTATGTATATGTGTGTTTGTGTGTGTATGTACGTGTGTGTATGTATATATATATGTATATAAGCTATTATATGAGCTGGAAAACATGAAGATTACCCTTTTCGTTGCACCATAGTAAATGTTAATTTTAATGGTAATTGTTAATATAGCAGAGTATGCTTAAGCTGAAAAAGTTTTCAAAACCTTTGTGATAAGTGCTATTAAGGACAAATTGTCTTACTTTCCATGACAATAAATGTTCATCAGAAGCATCTGTAAAATGTCTTCAAGATAAATAAATTTATTGACTTTTTACTCCATACTCCTCAATTTACACATGAGAAAACTGGGCCCAATTAAGTTCATACTTTGTTAAACTAAGCTTTACCTCTTCATAGGAGAGGATTTAGTCTGAAACAGGTTTGCTTCAAATGTTTGCAAGGCAAAAGGGAAGCCTTTGTACTGGTTAGGCATCTATTGCTATTCAACTTTAATAACAAGAAAATTACATGCACTTGAACATATTTTTTAAAAGGCCAAAATGACATTTTTCCAGGTAGTTTTCCTCAACTGGTAAGACCTGTAATTGGTCTCCTTAAGAAATTGCATTTTGTTCATAACTAATATTTCTTAATCAAATTTTCTTCCAAATATTACTATAATATTATTTTTATGTCCTTAAAACTTAACCTGATATTGAAACAAATAATATAAAATAAAACTTATATGTAGATTTTGAGAGAAAAAATGGGCTTTTGAAACTATGATGATGAAACAGAGTTTTTTTTTTAAGGTGTGTTATTAAAGGCTGTAAACAACCAAATTATGTTTCTAGTGCTAAATTATAAATGGAAATTAAACTTATCTATGGATATCCCTGTTCTCCTCTCTGTACCTCTTCCCCCTTAAGTGTCTCCAGGTCCCTTCAAGAATCTGAGCTTTCAGATTGACTCAACTCTCAAGTTTTTGAAGAAAGAGAGAAGACAGACTCAGATTTCAGTGTTAGGCCAAGTAGAGTGCTCCCCTCCAAAGTCTATTTGCATTGACAAAGTGGACTTCAAGGAACTAACAAACTTGTCAAAAGTTAATACAATTCCAGGAATCAACAAAGAAATGATTTTCATTTCAGTTGTTTGCAGGGGAATATAACTTACCTAACAAGTAAAATTAGCCTGTTATAGCATCTTACACAGACACACACACACACAGATACACACACACACACACACACACACACACACGACACACAGACACATACTACTAGGGAAAATCCAAGATGGAAATTAAAAGGGGCCTAACAGTTTCTAGGTTGAGTCCAAAGTCTTATTTCATCTGTAGGTACCATTAAAGTTTAGATAAACTTCCAGCCTAACCTACAGAATGGCCATGTGTTGGTCATACTTTTGTCAATAAAAGTTGCTGCTAACATTCGTTTGTTTGTTTTTACATTCCAGTCAAGTATGGCTAATTTCTAGTTTCCAGTAGCATCCACTCTTTGTTTCCTGCCCCACAGAGATCTTAAAACAACATTAAATGAGATGTAGAAAGTTTGAATACTACGTCCTTGATTCATGTAAAATTTTGTTCCTTCAGCAGGAAACCCTTGCCCTGTGATTTTGCCTTGGATTCAGGTTTCCCCTGTGCCCAACTTCTCAGTACAGTATTTCTGTTTCCTTGTTGTCTGCTCACTTTGGTAAAGCTGCTAATTTTGCGTTAACCTTGATGTCTAGGTTTACTCTGCCCTTTGCTGGATGTTGCCACACTAGAGCTCATCTCCATTCCTATTGCTTAATTCGTTTGTAGTCCTAAGTAAACTGTAGTCTTGAGCACGCTCTGGGCCTGTCTGCTCCAGAGTCAGAAAGGATGCCCATGTTGGTTTCTCTAATTTTAAGCCAATGACCAAGAAAGTTGTAAAGACTTTAAAGATATTCTAGGTCTTTATAATATTGTTGAGCTGCTGTGCTCTTTACAAGATTGCCTAAAATATCACAATATCACAAAGCAAAACTCTACAAATATTATTGATAGTGTTCTCCTTTTAAGATTCTCTGTGTTGTTCGTAGTGGACAAGATCAATGAGAACATATGTGCTGGCTTTTAAACATTATATGCAAGAGATATACTAGATATAATTTTGTTTTATCTTACCAAGAGATCGGATTCACATATAAAATGAAGAGGATAAACTTGAAGTTGAGTCTGCAATGATTATACATGTAAAATAGGAGCAAAGATAAAGGACAAACCACAGAGCTTTACTTAAAGAGTTTTAGTTACATTTGAATAACTAAAGTATCTCAAATGCATGTGTATATATGTGTACATACTTGTTAGGATGGTGTGTATGTGTGTGTGTGTGTGTGTGTGTGTGTGTGTTCACCAAGGGGAAGAAAATAAAATTGTTAGGTATTACTAAAAATAATAATTTATCCTAATTTAGTAGAACTAAGAATTGTCTGCCTTTTTCCATATAATGGTTTTTCTTTAAAAAGAAAAACAAAAAACAAAACCAAAAAAATTAAGGAAATAAATCACCACCGCCACCACAACGAAACACCACCAAAAAGAGACTTGGCCCTAATTGCTCTGATTACACGAGAAGTCAGCATATCATGGTGGTTCAGACTTCAAGTTTTAGAATTGGAAAATCATGTTTGAATTCTAACCACTATGTGACTACAGGCGGCCCACTAATCTCTATGAATCCCAGTTTCTTCATCTACAATATGGGGATGTTATAATACATAAGTCCTAAGATTTTCATGAAAATTAGAGTGATAATGTACATACATTAGTTATTAAGATGCCTGGATTGCATCTTAAAATGGATGCTATTATTAATTATTTTATATTTCAATACAAATTTGAAATCATGTTTTAGTGCATTATCATTCTATATTTGTGTTCTTGCCAGACTATTTCAGTTAGAGATGTTCAAATGTTTCTTATTCTATTGGTTACAAATGCAAATAATACCATGACAAATATTCCTAAATAACCTCAAGTATTTGGAGGGGGTCTTTCTTGAGAAATGTTTTCCTGCCTGATTTAACACCCCATATATTAAATCTGTTGTGGTACTATGGTAAAAGAATAGGCTTCAAACATTATAATTCCTCTGTTTCCACCTCCTCTCTTTCCACCTTTCACATATGATGAAAATCAACATTTATTTTTAAAACTGTCTCCACATAGTTCATCACAATAAAGCTTTCCAAGAAAATATTGGAGAAGATTTGGCATAAGTTCAAAGAAACCAAATAGAGACAAGAAGTGCATTTTCTCATAATTTGTATTACTGAAATATCATACATGGCATTTCTTAATATACCTTTTTGAAACACAGAGTCACATTTTTCTGAAGTTAAATCAGTAAGTTTATGTAAAAGCCCCCATAGAAGTCAAATAGTTAATTTTAAGACTTTTCCACTATTTTGTATAATAATCCCATTTATATATAATTCTAAATATGCCATCTAATACTCTAGTTGTGATAACAGAATCATTTATTATTTCTCACAGCTGTTCATTCTGCATAGCAATTTATAACCATTTCATAGTTAATACTCATGCTATCAAAAGACAAGCTGATGACTAGCATATTATATGAGGTTTAAAAAACAGAAAATTCTTCTAAAAAGTAACACAAAGTTAACTCTAGAGCACAAAAATATTGTTTGTTTTTTGTTTAATTGAGCTTAACAAGTCATGTGAATTCCTGATCCTTGTTGTGTGTGTCCACATGCCAAGTTTTATAAATGTGTATGTGAGTGTGTGTGTATGCCTAATCGCAAAGAGTTACTTGATTTTCAGTAATAGGGTTTTTTTAGTGTTTAGATTTTTAGCTTAATTTTTTTATCATAACACAAATCTCCCACCTTTTTTTTGAATAGTGTGTCCGCATTCTGTGATAATAATTATTAATATATATTGAGTAGTTATTATATTCTGTACACTACAATAAATAATATGTTTTTAAGTTAATGCTTACTTTTAAATCATGCGTTTACAAGGATTATCTACCATTATCTTTATTGCACAGATGAGGGAATCACATTGATGATGAGAGAGAATACATAACATGTCCAAGATCATAACTCCAGAGCTGTTATTTTAACTTCCATGGCCATGACTTCAACCACATATCATTAGCAACTGAACACAGGGGAACCTTATGGTATTGTTTTCACAATTTTTAGGGCTTCTGCTTTACTACCAAATACTTTGCTAATTCAATAAGCCAGTAAATATAATAGGTTCTTTGTTCTTGAGATGAAATAAAAGTTTGAAAAGACACACTAATAACTATTTTTACATATAACTCCATGGTTTGCAAATTCCTATAATCACTATGATGACCTTATAAAATAACCATGATTATTACTATTACTCTATTACTACAAATTATGCAATTCACAGTACAGACTAGTTCACAGTAAGAACAGAACATTTCTGATAAAAACATGAACTGAAAGTTTCTACTATCAATGCAGTTAATAGAATAATAATACTGCAGAGGCACAAAAATGACATTTATCTGGAGTTGTACTATAAAATAATTTTATACCTTTGTAGTCTGATTCTCATTTATTAAGTTTAAAGTCTCCCTATACTCATGTGAAATGAGCTGAAAAGATCACAGTGCAGGCCTTCCTGGTAGATGGAGCACTGTTTTGATTTCTCCACAGAGCCTATAATTTTACTCAGTGGAAATCTAACTTCTCAGAAGAACCAGAACATATCAAAATGACAGCTGTTCTAGGTAGTTTTCATGATTCACTCAAAGTACATGACAGGTAACAGTTGGAAAATATAATGCGTCCATTTAACCTTGAATTTCCAATATCTTCACAAAGGAGTCTCAACTGATACAAGGTCAAGCTAACACACAAATTGGTTACATATTCATAACACAGAAAAAAATACCTAATGTTTGGAAGAGGAATGGCCATGGGCTTTTAAATCACACACTTCTACAAGCAGTTATAGAGTATCATAGGTATTGAGCAATGTGATACACTGTTTTAGTTCTAGTGAGGTGTGGAAACCCAAATCAATGATGAGATGAATCAGACATATTCATGTCATCTGACAGAATTAGTTTTACACTATGATATATGCTAATATCTGAAATGGTGTATTAGTCCATTTTCACACTGCTATAAAGATACTACCTGAGACTGGGTAATTTATAGAGAATGGAGGTTTAATTAACTCACAATTCTGCATGTCTGGGAGGCCTCAGGAAACTTATAATCATGGTAGAAAGTGAAGGGAAAGCAAGGCATGTCTTACATGGCAGCAGGAGAGAGATAGCAGGAAAAACTACCACTTATAAAACCATCAGGTCTTGTGAGAACTCACTAACTATCATGAGAACAGCATGGGGGAAACTGCCCCCAGGATCCAATCGACCCCACCAAGTCCTTCCCTCCACACATGGAGATTACAATTGGAGATGAGATTTGGGTGGGGACACAAAACCAAAACATATCATTCCACCTCTTCCAAATCTCATGTCCCTTTCATATTTCAAAACAGATCATGACTTCCCAACAGTGCCCCAAAGTCTTAACTCATTCCAGCATTAACCCAAAAGTCCAAGTCTAAAATCTCATCTGAGAGACAAGGCAATTTCCTTCCACCTATGAGCCTGTAAAATCAAAAACAAGTTAGTTACTTCCAAGATACAGTGGGGGAACAGGCATTGGGTAAATGTTTCCATTCCAAATGCGAGAAATGTGCCAAAACAAAGTGGCCACAGGCCCAATGCAAGTTCAAAACCCAGTAGGGCTGTAATTTAATTGTAAAGCTCTGAGATGATATTTTTTGACTCCATGCCTCACATCCAGGGCGAGGGGTGGGCTCCCAAGGCCTTGGGAAGCTCTACCCCTGTGCACTACAGGGTACAGTTGCCATAGCTGCTTTCACAAGCTGGCATTGAGCGCCTGTGGCTTTTCCAGGTGCATGGTGCAAGCTGTTGATGGTTCTACCATGTGGGGTCTGGAGAACAGTAGCCCTCTTCTCATGGCTCCACTAGGCAGTGGGCCAGTGGGTACTCTGTGTGGGGGCTCAAACTTCACAGTTCCTTTCTGCACTGCCCTAACAGAAGTTCTCCATGATGGCTCCATCTCTGCAGCACACCTCTGCATGGATATCTGGGCATTTCCATACATTCTCTGAAATTGAGGCACAGTTTCTCAAAGCTCAACTCTTATCTTCTGAGTACCCACAAGCTCAACACCATGTGGAAGCCACCAAAGCTTGGGTTTTGAACACTCTGAAGCAAAGGCCTGAGCTGTACGTTGGTCCCTTTTAGCCATGGCTGGAGCTGGAACAGCTGGGATGCAGGACACCAAGTGCTGAGGCTGCACAGAGCAGCAGAGCCCTGGGACCAGCCCATGAATACAATTTTTCCTCCTAGGCCTCTGGGCCTGTGATGGGAGGGCTGCGTAAAGACCTCTGACATGGCCTGGAGACATTTTCCCCATTGTCTTAGCGATTAACACTTGGCTCCTTGTTACTTATGCAAATTTCTGAATTTCTCCCCAGAAAATGGGTTTTCCTTCATACTGCATTATCAGGCTGCAAATTTTTGAATTTTTATGCTCTGCTTCCCTTTTAAATGTAAGTTCCAATTCCAAACCATCTCTTTGTGACTGCATAAAACTGAATGCTTGAACGGCACCCAAGTCACCTCTTGAATGCTTCACTGCTAGAAATTTCTTCCGCCAGATACCCTAAATCATCTCTCTCAAGTTCAAATTTCCATAGATCTTTAGGGCAGGGGAAAAATGCTGCCAATCTCTTTGCTAAAATATAGCACGAGTGACCTTTACTCCAGTTCCCAATAAGTTCCTCATCTCCATCTGTGACCACCTCAGCCTGGACTTCATTGTCCATATCACTATCAGCATTTTGGTCAAAACCATTCAACAAGTCTCTAGGAAGTTTCAAATTTCTCCACATCTTCCTGTCTTCTTACAAGACCTCTAAACTGTTCCAACCTCTGTCTGTTACCCAATTCCACATTTTCAGGTTATCTTTATAGCAGCTTCGTATTCTGCTGGTACCAATCCACTTTATTAGTCCATTTTCACACTGCTACAAAGATACCATCTGAGACTGGGTAATTTGTAAAGAAAGGAGGTTTAGGCCGGGTATGGTGGCTCACGCCTGTAATCCCAGCAGTTTGGGAGGCCAAGGCGGGTGGATCACGAGGTCAGGAGATCAAGACCATCCCGGCTAACATGGTGAAACACCATCTCTACTAAAGATACAAAAAATTAGCCAGGCGTGGTGGCAGGCGCCTGTAGTCCCAGCTACTTGGGAGGCTGAGGCAGGAGAATGGCGTGAACCCGGGAGGTGGAGCTTGCAGTGAGCCGAGATCGTGCCACTGCACTCCAGCCTGGGTGACAAGCAAGACTCTGTCTCAAAAAAAAATAAGAAAGGAGGTTTAATTGGCTCACAATTCCACATGGCCAGTGAGGCCCCAGGAAACTTACAATCATGGCAGAAGGGGAAGGAGAAGCAAGGTACCTTTTACATGGAGGCAGGAGAGAGAGAGAAAGAAAAAAACTGCCACTTATAAATCCATCAGATCTGTGAAAACTCACTCACTATCATGAGAACAACATGGGGGAAACCACTCCCAGGATCCAATCATCTCTGATGTCCCACCAGGTCCCTCCCTTAACACATGCGGATTACAATTTGAGAAGAGATTTGGGTGGGGACACAAAGCCAAATGGATTTTAGGGCAGAAATTTTCAAAACACCCAAGAAGGCCCAGGTGTAGCTGTTCAAATGACAGTCTTTCCATGGATCTATATGTTCCAATCTATTCCCATATCTCTTACTGTTAATTTAGCAAGTATACACAAACAAAAACATCAATAAGTGGCTAACATTACCAATACATGGAAAAGCAGATGAGGGATGATGGGTTGCCTATATATTAACAGGAACTTTAGAAATTGAGTAGAATAAGTTGCTAGGTTTATCATCAGCAGCATCTATTTGTTCAGTACTGATTTTGTATTCATTGAGAGCTCAGTAAAAGCCAAATAAAAATAGCTTGCAATGTTCTTATGTTCATGTATCATATGGTATTGCTTTCTCATAGCAAATGACTTTCTCTAGAAAAAACTCGATTGCTATTTTTTAACAGCAGAATCATATTAAACATATTAAAGCTGCCCTCTGGAGAATTTGAAATTTGTCAACTAGGTAAAAATACAGATTTTTTTTTTCTGAAAAGCTGATAAAGTTTCCAAAAATATGCCTCATATATCATTATCAGAGAAACAATGTATAGACAGCTTTCTGTTTGGGTCTTGATAAATATTTGTGTGTTTCATTTGCATTTTTATTTTATGAATCCAAAACAAGGTAAAATGGCCCTCCAATAGTTCTGCCCTCTCCGTTTTAGCTGCCCTCCACCCATTTGAGGCAGTGACTTAACAATGTCATTACCATCATCAGCTGTTTCCTGTCAAGCAAGTACTATATTTAATAGGATTGCAGGTGGAAGCGTGTGAGCTGTTGTCATCAGGAGAAGGAGATGTCACAGTGACCTGCATGCTGGTGTCTCCTCTGTCTCCCTTCCCTCCCATCTGCTCTTTCCTTCCTCAAGTGAAAGCATCAGCAGAGGTTTCAGGACAGTGTCTCTGACTAGAGCAAGGCAGCTATATGGAGATTGTCAATCAAACCTCTCAAACTCTAGGTGACGTCTCTTTCGTAAAATTCAATTTCATAAGGATGGGAGATGAAATGACAGCCTCACTTACTCTGACTGCTAAAGGCCAATCAAGAGATGAAATGAAAGCAGAACTGTTATTGAGATCGCTACCATGTACTGGCAGTCTCTGTGGGAGTCAGTATCTCAGAAATTGCAACTAGAGGCCCTATGTGGTGGCTCACACCTGTAATTCCAGCACTTTGGGAGGCCGAGGCCGTTGGATCACCTGAGGTCAGGAGCTTGAGACCAGCCTGGCCAACATGGTGAAACCCTATCTCTACTAAAAATATAAAAATTAGCCAAATGTGGTGGCAGGCACCTGTAATCCAAGCTACTCAGGAGGCTGAGGCAGGAGAATCGCTTGAACTTGGGAGGCGGAGGTTTCAGTGAGCCGAGTTCGCACCATTGCACCACAGCCTAGGTGACAAGAGTGAAACTATGTCTCCAGAAAAAAAAAAAGAAAAAGAAAAAAAAAAGAAAGAAAGAAAGAAAGAAAAGAAAAAGAAATTGCCACCAGAACTACAAGAGAATATCATTTCAGATGGCTGCAGGGACGTTTTAGAATTTGTCATGAGGTATGCTATTTCTGGTATGGTAAATACCATGTCTCCTGTGCCCTTTGAAGTAACCCTAGTATTGAATTCAACACAGATACGGAGATGCTGCTCTGAAAAGAAGTAGTCATAATATTTGTTTTCCTGTTGACAGAGGTGACTGTGGCTTTCCATGGGTAAGTGTAATAAGACATGATATTTTCTATCAGTTTTAGAAGTTCTACCACAGACTATTAATGCAGCTTAGATAACTGGTACAGGCACAAAATGGTAAGTTCTGTCAAGGTACCTTAAACATGAAAATTCAAAGCATTTCAACTGCTAAATTTTATACATGCTTCTTCTATCTATCTGTGCACATATTTTACATACTACTATTAATATTAATAGCATTACTCTAAGCATTTTATACATATGAGCTTATTTAATGAAGTAGGCAACAGTATAACTTAGGAAATATTATCTCCATTTTTAAGATCAGAAAACTGAGGCAGAGAGAAAGATTAACTTGACCAAGGTTACATGGCTGTTATTTGGTAAAGATGATTTGTCTAGAGCCCAAAGTTTGAACATTATGATATCACTTCAGCAGTGGTATTAAAATTTATATGCACATACAATACTGAATATGTAGAATAAATGTGTATATATATAAAATATATATGTTATAATATATACAAATGTGTATATATGTTTATATTTCATTATATTTTGCTTTGAAGTATGATTTTTCTAGTTCCATGAACTCATCATATCATTTCTTTTCAGTGCATTCATTGGTATGTGTGATAAAACAACACAAAATACCAGCTAATAAAAATATGTAAGTAATAGAGTTTTTTTTCTACTTCACATAGTGCTCAGCATGATATTCCATTGCTGCTGTGCTGTCAGTCTTCTATCTCCTAACGACTTTCCTTCTATTGGCAATGGCAAAAAGTTAAGACATTGTCTCTGAAGCAACTGATACTACTATTGGGAGAAAAAAATAGAATGCTAAATTTCTTTAAGGGGTCCAATTTGCTTAGGAACTCTCTAAAGCACAGAACTACTTACAAATATGAATATTATACTGATGTCTTGAGTTAAATATCATGTAGGAGATGTTCTTACAGATAGTGGGCTTCCCAGAGTCCTTACACATACTTCTGCTCTGATCAGTTGAATTTCATGCACACCTACAGTAAGTTGTGCTTGCATGTGTTGGCTCTCATCACTAGAATTGTATGTTTACACGATGCTTGTTGTAAACACAAATGCAAGTATATCAATTTTACTTGTTATTACATGATTTAATTATTACATACACGATAGACTTATGAGTGGAAAAATAAGGTTTTAAAAAATGAAAATGAAGTTTAAGCATATTAAAAAGACTACATAAAGGCATAACATGAGTTTCTAAAGGATGAGTGGAAAAACAATAATTAAGATATAAAAGGATTCTCTTCCCAAATTATTTTACAAGTCTTTTTAAAGTTCTTATTCCACTGTGAAGAAATCAACACATAAAAATTCATAGACAATAAATTAAAGATATTTTTCATGCCAAATATAGTAAAGCTCCAACCAGTTATCCCATACACAAATGAGTCCTTAATTCTATATCAAGAGTATTTTATAATTTGAATTAAAGTAACATATGTCAGATATGTATCTATCACTGCTTTAAAAATATTTTGGATCAACTGACTGACTATTAGTCCCAATGTCTAAAGAGAAGTTTATTGTATCTTTATTGTGATAAGCAACACATTTCTTAAAATTCTGTGTAAAAATTTTAATATATCCACTGTATTATACCATTATCTAGAGCATTCAAGTGATTCTGTAGACCATAATTTGTGATGTTGTTTAGGAAAAATACTTTCTCTTTTTTTTTTTTTTTTTTTTTAGAGACATGGTTTTGCCATATTATTGGCCACGCTGGTCTCGAACTCCTGAACTCAGGTGATCCACCCACCTTGGCATCCCAAAGTGCTGGGATTACAGGCATGAGCCACTGTGCCTGGCTGAAAAATACATTCTTACCAACAGCCCACACATTGGAAGAAATAGAAGCCTAAAGAGTGGTAGCAATTAGCATTTTTGATATCTTTCATGAAAACGGTGTTAACTTTCTGAAAGTAATCAAGCAATTTTCTTGTCATAGATAAATAATCAGGATCCTGTACATCCATTTGTCCTTGCTTGACAATCTCAGCAGGAGTAACAGGTTCTAGAGCTGCACTGTTCTTCAGAGTTCTGACAGCCATTCTGACCCTTTCAAAATATATCATAAAGACAGTTTGTTGGCAAAGCTTCCTGTGATTTAACATTTTATTTTGCCAGAGTTGAAAGTTTCTAAGAATGTTAAAATGTCTTTTCTATCTTTATAGAATCTCTTTATCACTAGATTGGACTTCGTTAATTCTTCAAGTTTGCTAATCACAGAAGTGAAAGATAAAGCCTGAGAAGGATGACTAGGTAGTCCTTTCCCTTGCATTTTAAAGATATGATCATTAAATCTAAGAATTGTGTATGTGCATCTATATATCTACATGTTTATATCTATATCCATGCACTGTTTATATCCACATCCATATCTTTATCTGAATAGACCTGACAACTGAAGCCCATACTCTCTTGTCCAATTTTATGTTACCTCACTATGCTAAGCAACATTACAGTAATGTAGGTCTGTATGAATGTCTTAATACCTTGAAGGTGTCTCTACCTCTGTTTCAAATCAGCTACGTTTCTTAGGGAGAGGCTAGCCAAGTAGTAAAATGTCATGGCAAAAAGTTCAATTAAATCAGTCCTGGTATGGTGGCTCATGCCTGTAATCCCAGCACTTTGGGAGGCTGAGGTGGGTGAATCACTAGAGCTCAGGAGTTCAAGACCAGCCTGGGCAAGCTGGCGAAACCCCATCTCTACCAAAAATGCAAAAAATTAGCCGGGTGTGGTGGTGTGTGCCTGTAGTCCCAGCTACTTGGGAGGCTCAGGTGGGAGGATCAGTTGAGCTCAAGAAGTCGAGGCTAAAGTGAGCCAAGATCATGCCACTGCACTCCAGTCTGGGCAGCAGAGTGATAAATATGGGTTAAATAATGTGAGAAGCCAGCCATATCTCAGTCACATATATAGAGTTTGACCTAACAGATAAATTATACTCCAAAAATTTTAGAGAAAACTTATAGGAAATTATTTGTCAATAAACATTCTTAGAATGCTTCTTTATATAAAGAATCATCATGAGTATTATGGGTCACAGGTTATGATGGATTCAAAAAATATTACATTAAGTTATGCAAAATATATTTTGCTTCAGGTGTGAACAATCAAGTAGACAGAATAAAAATCATAACTAAGTCTAGAAATAATGGTATTGCCTCCTACTTTGTCTTTTTAATCTCGGAGTTTTGGGTTTTGTTTATTTTTCAGTTCTTCTTGATGGGGTTTATTTGATTTACTGAAAATGACATTTCACATTTCTGTTTGAAGGAAACAATGTCAGTCTCAGACTCCAGTCCCCTGGCTACAGGTGAGCTCCACTAAGTCCATGGGTTTTGCTGGTGTGACATCACCCAGGTGTTATACTGTTTTGCCGCTTTCCATTTCAACTTGTTCCAAGGGGGCTGATTGCCTTGCTGGCCTGGCAAAGTCTAAAGCCTCATACGTAATTACAGCCCTGTAAATGCGTAGAGAATGGAGTAGCATCATGGTGAGAATTAGAAAGCAGCCTGGTCAGTAAAGCACAATCTACTAATTACTTGCACTGGTGGTTTTTCTGTAGGAAAATAACTCTGGGCTTTTTGATAAAAGGCACATAAAATTGCCTAAACTCCCTTCTGTTATCTTATTACAAAATAAATTGCCAATTTTAGGCTATTTGTTTCAGTGTATCCATTTTAAAAATTCTAAGTATGTATTTACTTTAAAATTGGTATATTTTACAACAATGGTATGTGCTATGTGTCCTGAATTGAACTTATTTAAACAAGTTTGGTATACAACAGTATTAAAAATGAAGCATAAAAAATAATATTTCTATATTCTAATATTTCTAAGAGTAGGGTAATTTTTAAATTATAAACTGTTCCAAAGTTTGTTTCCGTTGTTAAAAATAGACATGGATAGCAAACATGAACCTAATAAATACATAGACATGATGTAAAGTTTAACTAACATAAAGAAAGCATGTATCTTTCTATTAATTTAACATATTTGAATGAAGTCACTTGAAAAAAAACAAATGCTATAGGTCTCAATGACTTCTGAAAATGTAAATGTACATATCTAGATCTATTCCTATTTCTATATCTACATGTGTACATCCACGTATATAGCTATATAATATACATACAGCTTATATGTCCATATAATTTGGATGTGGACCTGTCTGCATAAATGGTGAAATTTATGCAGTGATTTCTATCAACACATATATTATAAAAATTATGAGATATCAATTGTAAATGACTTATACCTAGATTTTAAACATATTAAAGATTGGAATGGTGTTTTATTCACCATTTTATATAGCTGGCACAGACAAGTTCAAACACTATTGTTATTAAATATTAGGTAACACTGAATGAGATATAGATTTTAAAAAAGCAACTAAAAATTAAAAACTATACTTAGATGCTGCCCTACTCAAGAATTTATCACAAAAATGCAAAAATGATAAGGCTATGGTAGCTGCTATTCAGCATCCTTTCCCCACTGGGGGTCCAATCTTTTTCTACAGCTACTGAGTAGTGCTAGTTTCCACATTCCACAATGTAATTAAGATTTAGTGATACAGGAGGTCTTATATCTATTTTATAGAGCAATTTCATCAGAAGCAATTGGCCATTTGAAATAACCAACTATAGATTTTTTCTATATTAGACTTATTTTTAATTAGAATGTAACTTATGATTGCCCTGAAAAATCGAACCAAAATTTAGAACTGTATAAAGAAAAAAATAACCTTTCAAAGTTTAATATATATTTGCCAACTATGGCTTATTGTTTTCCATACCATCCGGGTAATGTTTTAGGAGATCTCCCAGACTGGGCAGTGACAGAGGCAAGAGGAGATGAGTGAATACAGGAGTGGTTGCTGAGGTGAGGCATCTGCGTACTAGAAGCTATGGAACTCAGGATCCAAAAGGAGAGTTTAAACAAAATACTACTAAATAAATATTGAATAATTTTTAATGCACTTCTCCAATGTTAAATAGCTTCTCATTCCCTCTGCTACACACATAAATTGTTCTTATGAAAATTAAAATAAACTTTTACTTTGTGAATTGTGATGCCTTAAACCCATATGAGCTGGGGAAGTCTAACACCTATTAAGAGGTAGTTAGGACTTATCCACAGGGTATTCTATTTCCTTTTTCCTACAAGGAAAACAGATTTTTATCTGCTCCTTCATCACATTCCTGAAAATTTATCTGATAGGTGCTTCAAAATTGCCATTTTCCATAGTTTGCACATCAGAAACTCACCCATATAGATTGCTTGATAAAGCACAGATGGTTCTGAAATTTGAATCTTTTTTTAACCAAGTGATATTATGCATATCTGAGTAACAGTGTAACAAAGAACTACCTGTCTTAAAAGAACCATGAGGGACATAGGACATTTGCTAAGCTGGCAGATGGTGTTGTCACGTGCTGTTTAAATTAAACAAACAAACAAACATTTATAGTAGCATAGATGATACGGTTTACAAACAAGTTCTTAGACCTTAGACCTTATCTGGCCTGTTAGTATGACAGAAGACTAGGAATTAACTATGTAATGATTTTTTTCTTCTGACAAGATATGCAACTTTGTAAAATGTATTAACATGGCCATGTTAGGAAACTAAGAGTCTACAGAGTATCTCTTCAGTTGACAGGAGAAATATAGGTACAGAGTCAGGCAGACTGAAGCTTGTGTCCGCAGAGCAAGGCCAATGAGCAAAAGTTATCATTTATAGTCTATACTTTTCTGCTGTATAGTCTCAAACCTCGTTTTCTACGGATGCCCTGTGGTTGCTTCAGTTATACTCTAAACTTCTGAATTTGTAGCAAAAATCTAAAGGGAATGAGAGCTTCATGACTGCATGATTTTAATAAATCTATCAAATTCAAGATCCATTGATAGATATTAGTAAATAATAAACTCTTATTTTACCCACTGTCTTATGACTGCTTGTATGTGTACTTCATATGCAAATGTACGAAATATAGTATTTAGCCATCATAGTGACTTAAACCCTAGAAGCCTTAGTATTTATAACTATAAAATGAGTGTAAACACTGCATCTTCCTCACAGAATGTTTATGATAGTCCAATAAGTTTTTAATTATAACAAGCAACACTTACTAAATGGTTACTATTTGTCATGAACTTTATATGCTTCATTAATTTAATACTTGTAATATCCCTTAAAGAGCTTTCCTTATTATTCTCCTTATGCAGATGAGAAAACTGAAGCACCAAGTGGTTAACTAAGTTGCTCAAGGTCATGGAGACCAGAAGGCAAACCCAGGTAGACTTGATCCAGAGTCCACATTTCCAACCACAGCAATACACAATGTGAGGTCCCATCGTTGCTTGTTATTAACCTAACTGGTTTTCCAGTTTTTGGTCTTTTCCTTTTCTAATCTACCCTCCATATGTCACCAAAATGACCTTTCTAAAATACAATTCTAGCCTACCATTTCTATATAACTTTCCATTTCTTTTCAACTAATCTATACATTCAAATTCATTCTCATATGTGATAAATCCCTTTAGCTTTTGGCTTAAGCTCTCATCCCACTTACCCAATATGCTCACAAACAAGGTCTAAACTATTTTAGGAATTGACAGCATTTTTACTTTTATACCTCTAGAGCTTTCAATATCTGGTGTGCATTTCCTGTAATGTTTCCAACTTTTCTTTAGAAGACAAAACAAATTCCACTCTTCAAGCTCTTTATTAAACTTTTTCAGCGAATCCTGCTGCAATTTCAAGAGAGATGAGTAGCCCTTCCCTGTGCTGTCTAAATCTCAGATTAAACTTGTTTAGTCACATCCCCATGTCACAATTATGAGTTTTCAAGTCTCTCTCCCCCACTGGACTTTGGGCTCTTCCAGGACGGCAATGGAATTTGATGCATCCTTGGATTATGAGTGCATGATATTTGATAAATATTTGGCATTCAAAAATGATTATTCAATGTCTATTTGCCTTCCATAAGAAAGTCGCCTAAGTACCATAGTCACAGCCAGTTCAACGGTTTAATGCAATAAACATTTATGGAACAACTAACGTCTGTCAGGCCCTGTGGTGGTCATAAACAGGTGTGAATAACACCTGGCTCTGCCCTCAAAGAGATGGCAGAGTGGCACACGCAAATTTTCAGTTAATTTTGATACATTCCACTAACATAGGTACTTACTGGGTGACAGGCAAGCAGAGGAGAGACCCTCAACCCAGCCTGAAGAGA
Organism: Homo sapiens; assembly: GCF_000001405.40. Lineage (NCBI taxonomy): Eukaryota > Metazoa > Chordata > Mammalia > Primates > Hominidae > Homo > Homo sapiens. The sequence goes on along the minus strand of NC_000006.12, from coordinate 124,261,924 downwards.
AAAAAACAAAGCATGGATATTAAGGCTGTCCCCATTTCAAAATTTTTTTTTTTTTTTTGTGTGAGATGGAATCATGCTCTTTCACCCAGGCTGGATTGTTGCAGTGGCGTGATCTTGGCTCACTGCAATCTCTGCCTCCCGGATTCAAGAAATTCTCCTGCCTCAGCCTCCCGAGTAGCTGGGATTACAGGTGCACGCCACAATGCCCTGCTAATTTTTGGACTTTTAGCCGAGGTGGGGCTTTGCCATCTTGGCCAGACTAGTCTCGAACTCCTGACCTCAAGTGATCCACCTACCTTGGCCCCCAAAGTGCTAGGATTACGGGCGTCATGTACCATGCTGGCCTCAAATTGCCATTTAAACCTCAACTATTAATGTGGTAGAATGTTTTCCATTTAACAGCTACAGTTCAACTACATCTCAATGACTATGACAGTCACCTAGGTTGTTACTAAGATACTTCCCTCGAGGTCTGAGGGATTCAAACATGTAAATCAGGTGCAACTAACATTGTTGAAGTGTTAATTCCTTGATAATTCAAAATGGAAACTAGGTAGTCATCTGTAAACTTAGAGATTTGGCAAAGTGATCAGTTAAGGCTGTGAGTAATGGATGTCAACATGCTTAGTTTTCTTGCATAATAGTAAAAAGAAAGAGAGTAAAAAAGAAAAATGAAAACAAGGAACGAAAGAAAAGTAAAACAAGACGAGATTGTATCACAGCTTATCTGTTTATTTCTCCTATCTGGAATCTTTTTAGATGACATTTTTGGCCTCAGAGTTTTTCTCAGAGACCTGAATAACCACATCACTGTAGCCAATCTTTTATGCTATTTTTCCATCTCTATAAATGTTCTTGAAGTCTAACATTTACAGGTTATATCACAGCTTCTGAAATGAGAATTTCTTGCGGGCAGTCCTCTCTAGTTCATCACAGTATTTCTCACAGGGCCAAGAACTGCATCTTACACATATTACTCTCAGCACAATTATTGAGTGTTGAGTGGATGTAAGTACAAATGTAGAAGTTAGAATTTCACTGCTCAAAATTCTCAGACTGCAGCACAGGAAAAGGAGAATTTATAGAATTAGAATTCAATGGGTCTCAACTATATCAAAATTTTCTCTACAATAGCTCATATATTAGAGACTTTTCCATGCCCTTGTTCCCTTGCAATCTATTTACAGGATAAAAGCCAGAGTAATCCTCTTAAAATATAATAAAATCATGTCACCCCTCTGCTAAATGTTCTCCAGTGGCTTCCCATGTCAGAGTAAAAGGAACCCCTCCTGCAAATGGCCCCAGTCTCCTGATTTGTCTCACCACCCCCTTCTCTCCTGTACCTCTCCTGCAATTCCCTCCACTAGGTCTCCTTGCTGATTCTTGAACACAGCAGGCATTCTCCTGCCTCAGCGCTTTTACATGTTCCATCCTGTCTGCCTGGAGATCTCTTTTCCCTGACACCTGTGTGGTTTATTCTCTCACTTCTTTCAGTGATTTACTCAAAAGTTATCCTGGTCACTCTGTCTAAAATTACAATCTCACCTTGACCACACATTCCAAACTTCCCATTTCTGTTTTATTATTTCTCGTTTGCATTTAACACCCTCTAACACACTATGCATGCTACTTTTTTATCTTACTGATTTCTCATCTTCCCCACTAGGATGTAAGCTCCTTGAAGGCTGAGATTTTTCTCTATGGCTTACAAACATATACTTAGTCCATAGAATGGTTCTTGACATTTTATAGGTGCTCAATATATATTGCTGAAGACCTAAATGAATCTCCATTATGAAAATGATTTTTTGGACATAATAAAATTGTTATAATGGAAGGCACTTGCTTGTTATTAGAGTGATTTATCGATGCAGTTCTAATTCTAACTAGCTGTGTAATCATTACTAATCATTGAGTTCATTATCTTCAACAAAGTCATAATCAATTAGAATCAATAAAGAATATTAATCATTATTTGGTTTAATGTATACTTTGTCAGAAAGCAGAAATCCCTTGGCATTAGAGTGTCTTATTCACAGAATGGCCCCATAACACTCTATTTTTGTATATAAGCTTGAAGAATGATGAAAGGTGAAAAAAATAGGTGTCCAGGGAGATCACCCCACCTGCAGCACGGGTGTAGATAGCCAAGAACCACCATAATAGTCATCTAGGCATCAGTAGCCTTCAGAGACAGAAAGTGGACCCACTCTGCCTTGGGCTTAGTTTTAAAGGTATAGGTTTTTCTTCTGTCTTCTGGCCTGTGGTGGTTCTGTTTTTCCCTGTGTTCTTCACCTATTATCAATAATAACAATGACAGCAAGACTAGTAGTAATGAAAGCAAGCACTTACTGAATACTAACCTATTTATACCAAATCCTTGAGTAATGTTTTTTGGTATCATATTTTGAAACTGGCCCATAGAACTGATGGTAATAGTCTTTTTAAATAAACATAGAAACTGACTTTCTCGAAAGCTTCAAGCTTACATTTGCCTAATTTGGGTTCTTTCCTCAGGAAATCAACTCTCAGCCCTCCCAGATAGTATCAAGGGACTGAAACTCACCAGACCACCACACCCAAACAATGAGATGCCAGGCCCCTCATCCTCATGGTTTCTGTACCCCTCTCTGCTTTCTGTTTACTCACATGTACTTGTATTCTTTCCCCACCATATAAACCTCCAATTTTATTCCATCAATTTTATTCCAATTTGAGACAGAAAATGGCTGAGAAGGGCTTTTAAGTAGAGAGTGCCACATATGGTACAGAATCAACAAAAGGCCAGTAGACCAGAAGAAGCAGACAGACAGGAATGATGGATGCCTCAGTGGTGTACTGAGGTAAACCCCTCCTCAGTAACCACCTCCATGCAACATTTATATAGATGGGCTCAGGAAACCCAGCTTGGATGAGAGGCTGTGCTTTCATCTGGATTTACAAAGCACTTTATGGAAGACTGAGAAAATTTAAATTATCCAATGATAAATATAATTGGAGGAACATCCACTGCTCTCAAAATGCCTTGGAACTACGTAACCTAATGGAACCATGACAAGACTATAGGGAAGAGAGTACTTCCCCTAATGACTAAGGTTAAATTTGCCACCAGTCAAGAGAATAAAAGTTAAAAGAAGAAATTAAGTTGTTCTGTAGAAAGTGAAGAATATAGGCCCTGCCTACCAGAGATTCATACTTGCTACATACGTACTATTTAATTTCCTCTTTGAATGAATTTTATGTGGTGAAAACTGTTATTTTCCCTATTTTATAGTTTGAGAAAATTAGTGCCCAGAGAGGTTAAGTAACTTGTCTGAAGGCCTGACTGGTTCCAAAGTTATGTTCTTAATCTCTGCACCATATAGCTTCAAGTCCTGTCAGTTTTATATTATTAGATATTACATAGTTTCAAGTTATCGTTTATCATTTTGCTTTCCACAGTTCCCTGGATGTACTAAAATAAGGAGCTAAGAAAATAAATCTTTTTACAAGATCTTAACTTTGGTTTTTTGGTTCAAGGACTTCTACCAAAAAATGAATGAAGGAACAGATTAATGAATAAAAATCACCTCCATAATTTAAGTTCTGATCCTTTATTTCTTGCTGTCACAGGGCACACTGGAAACAACTAAATAATGCAAATATACAAATCTACAGAGTTGTGTGAGTGCAGGCTTTGGAACCATGCTGCCTGGATTCCAGTCCCAGCTTTGCCACTCAGCAACTGTGTGAATCTGACCAATTTAATTCCTCTGTCTATACCTCAGTTTTTTTTTTTTTTTAATCTTGAAAAAGAGTAAAACAATAGCATCTGCTTCATATGCCTGTTTAAGAATTAAATGAATTGGCCAGCACGGTGGCTCACACCTGTAATCCCAGCACTTTGGGAGGCCGAGGCAATGAATCACCTGAGATCGGGAGTTTGAGACCAGCCTGGCCAACATGGTGAAACCCCGTCTCTACTAAAAATACAAAAAATTACCCGGGGGCTGGTGGCGGGTGCCTGTAATCCCAGCTACTTGGGAGGCTGAGGTAGGAGAATCACTTGAACCCTGGAGGCAAATGTTGTAGTGATCCAAGATCGTGCCACTGTACTCCAGCCTGGGCAACAAGAGTGAAACCCCGTCTCAAAAAAAAAAAAAAAGAAAAGAAAAAAATTAAATGAATTAATATATGTCCAGCTCATAGAGGAGTGCTGGCCACAAGGCAGTGCTTTATAAGCATTTGCTAGGTTTTGAAACAGGAATGCAAGTGCAAACCCATCTCTATTTTGGACTGTTATTTCCTCTTATATCCTGGAAATTAGAGTAGACCTTTTTAGGTCTTATGTAAATTGCATTAGGTTATGTTGTATTTCAAATGGGCTTTCATAAATTGTTCAGAAAAATTGAGTTTTTATTTACATAAATAATTTCTAATTTTATAATCAAGAAGTCTCAAATATGGTATACTCCAAGATAAAGCCATTGTTCAGAAAATATGGGGCAAATACATTAGTTCTGGGTGAGTTGAAAGATGAATTTCATACTCTGAGCTCCTAAGAGCTGTAGGAAGTTTGAGCAACCTGATCCCTGAAGCAAATCTTAAACCACAGATCTGGAACTTGGCTCCATCAGTTAGGAGTTTCTGTTAGTGGAGCATTTTCAAAGGTGCATGCAAGGGCAACCAAGGCTTGAAGCTAGAGATTCCCAGAGAATGTTTTACCCTTTGGTTAGTTCAGCACAACAGAGACAATAAATAAAAAAAGCTCAAAATTCTTCAGCCATCTGCTTTCATCCATTTTGACAATGGAATGGTTTTTTTGTATGACCAGTCTGATTAGAGGTGTAGAAACTTGTCCTCTAGTGAAAAAAAAATAAAAACAAAAACAAAAAACAAAACCCAGTCAGTGACAACGCCTTCGAGAAAACCATCAGAGATCTCAGGCATAAGATTGTATTTATCTCCCTCACTTCCAAAAGAAGTTATAGCTTTTGCACGTTGTTTGTATATCAGTTGTCATCTAATATTTTACCAAAAAAAAAAAAAAAAAAAAAAAACAACAGAAAGCTAATTGAAACATTGTTTACCCCAGGAGGAAGGACACTGCAGAAGAAAATGGTTTGAAGATAAACTCTATCCTGTTGACACACACACATTCTATTTGCTACTGTTTATTAGTGTTTACAATGTATCAGAAATATCTTTCCTCTAATCAAGAATGCCAAGATACGGGCTCTTAAATTGCTGCAAAGATGAAGAAACTGAGGCACAGATATTTTAACTAAATTGTCTAAGCTGAAACATTAGAGAAAGACTGGAAATTAAGATTTTTCAAATTTCCAAGACTTATCTACTCTTAATCATACTAAACTACTGAAAAAGAAATGTTACTAGGACAGAACTATCAGATTTAGGATGGTGTGTTTTCTTTTTCTTTATTTCTGGTAATGGCATTGAAGATATATAACAGCATTAACGATTGCCAGTTTACATCTGTTTCCTGGGTTACCTTTCTATGGGCTCTGAAATGGCAAATGTGGTTGCTTAAATTTAAAATTGATCAGATTGTACCTTTCATTCTTTAATAAGTTTATGAATTACACATATGTACATAAGAGCTCCCTTAACTATCTTATTTTTCACAGAAATATATGACAGAAAAATCACCTTCATCATAAACCAATGCAGTTTTCCTAAGAAAAATTTATGACCTGTATCTGTGGGTGATGACCTTTTGGATTTTTGTTGTGACAACATTTCCCTACCTTCAGAGTATTTTTGCCCAAATGATAACCTCAGTGCCCAAAGATAAAATGGCTTCCTTTTTGCCAACTGACTTGCTGAGAATAGACTAACACGTTAACACTCCACGGAGTAATTTCCCTTGTAAGAGAGTGATTTAATTGGATGTCTAAAATCAACTTTCTTTCCCATATCTATTTGTTCAGTGGAGAGGAGCTTCAAATAAAGGTGATGCTGCTCCTTTATGATTGCAAAGGTTTTGAAGAGCAGCAAACTAAGAAAGGAAACGATGCCCCAAAGACACCAGCGCCACAGAATGTCTGTGACTTGGGTAGATAAACGAAAAACAGAAGAGACTGTGGGATTTCTAAATCAAAGGACAAGTGAGAGCATATTTTAAGGCAAGCATCCTATAACTGGTTATGACTGGGGTGATGGTTTCAATTATGGTTTGAGCAAATAGAGATTCATGTGGTTTGTTTGTGCATCAATGAGCAACACAAAGAAGTTTGAACATTCTGATCACTGACGGTGATAGGCTTTCCCTAATTTAGTATTCATAGGTGAGCCTCCCTTTCTCTTATTTTCCGTTTGTAAAAAATGTACAAAATGGAAGCTTTCCTTCTATTGCTCCATGGCTGTTGAATAAAAATGCGGCATCCTCCGCGAAATAGATGGATCACATGGTTATCCAGCAGCTGTGCCTCATTCAAACTACCAGCATAAATTAACATGCGTATTATCTTTACAGAGTGAGGAGGTAGACAACTACTTTGCTTCCCTCACACCCCCAGGTAGACACTGTTCAAAGAAATGTTTGAAATTAGATAAGTATTTTTTATTCTTAGCAGAATATGAAAGATTCACAAATTCTGGTATATGAGCACATCAACATTTCACCATTTCCCAAATATACAAGTGTGAAATGGCTGTCATAAATACAAATGTTCATAGCTGTACACAAGATGGGGCCAACCACATTACAGCAGCATGCCTTCTTGCATTTTATCACAGCACTAAAATATGCAATTCCTTCCCTTGTAAAAGCACTGTTATGGGCATTATAAAGAAATGAGCCACAATGAGTTCTGAGCAATTATCACCCTGGAGGGAAACACACTAATGCAATTGAACAGGAATAGCTGTTTAGACAGCCGGACTCTACTAGTTCACTATCGGAGCCAAGGGGCCTAATTCATCACCTGGCCTCAATTTTAGGAGACTTCTGTTCAGGGTGAAGACTAAAGCAGTCAGGGGACTTAACGAGAAAGGCTATTAAGCACGATAAAAAGCTGACTATAAATAGAGGTGACTACATTAGAGTAATAATTAGGTGTTCATGAAGAGATGAAGCATATGTTAGGTTATACTATTGTTTTGTAATGCTTTTTTGTTGCTGTTGTTAAAGCATTTTACTATCTAGTTTTAATGTTTCTAATATTTCTATATTAGAGTTCTAGTACTTCAATATTTAAGGATGGTAAAACAGTGCTTAGAGGAAACTACCATCAAATTTTAGTGTCGTTTTAATGATGAAGTAATGTAATAAGACTTCCAAGTCCTTCAAGTAGGATTTCTTCATATTCGAAATCATTATCTTGGGCTGAATCACACCTATATTTGTCACATCCTTCCATTTGTGGAAAACTCCCATTATTTTGGTTTTTATAATATAATAGTGAAACAAAACCCAACACAAGTGGAAAAGAAAAATACAAATCAATCTACACTGCTCTATTACACTCTCTAGTGCCTCCCACCACAAAAAGCAAGAAGAAAGCAATTCACCATTTCCTAAAAGCCAGTCTCTTCATAAAACAAAGTACAATACTTTGACAGATGTTGCTCTCATAGGGATGTCCTTTACCATCAGCTAGCTAAATATAACAAAACAGGAATGATAATTTGCTCAATTGGGCAAATTACTTCAATTGAAAGTAGAACACTTAGGCCAGGCATGGTGGCTCATGCCTGTAATCCCAGCACTTTGGGAGGCCGAGGCAGGCGGATCACCTGAGGTCAGGATTTCGAAACCATCCTGGCCAACATGGTGAAATCCCATCTCTACTAAAAATACAAAATTAGCCGGGAGCGGTGGCTCACGCCTGTAATCCCCACAGTACTTTGGGAGGCCGAGGCGGGCGGATCACGAGGTCAAGAGAACGAGACCATCTTGGCCAACATTGTGAAACCCCGTCTCTACTAAAAATACAAAATTAGCCAGGCATGGTGGTGCATGCCTGTAATCCCAGCTACTTGGGAGGCTGAGGCAGAAGAGTCACTTGAACCTGGGGAGTGGAGGTTTATGCAACTACACTCCAGCCTGGGTGACAGAGTAAGACTCTGTTTCAAAAAAAAAAAAAAAAAAAGTAGAACATTGCACATAAACAACCGAGTATTATAGAGAAGATGATACAAAAAGAAAAGACAATTTCTGAGTCACAGAGTGAGTTATCAAGATATAGTGGGAAAATAACAGGTATGCTATTGCATTCTTTCAAATAACATTCATGGTTCACCATGCAAATTTTATAATGAATGCTATCAGGGTTTAGGGAGGGTTTACTTTTGATTTTCAAGGTAAATAATAGTAGTAATTGAACACTTACACACACATATGTCACCACAAGAAAGAGAGTCCTATTGGACTAGGGAGGACTTAAAGCAGCCTCCACACTAACAAATTGCCCTAGATGTGCTTTATTTTGGCAGAGACTGACTTAAAAATATAACTCCATCCCTATTTTATTTTTTAATCCCTTCATATGGAGATAAATAACATCATCACTATTTGCAAAAGACATGATTTCCTGTGTAAACAATTAGAATCTACAGAAAAGCTTTAAGTTGGGTTGGTGAATTTGCCACATACAAAAGCAAATGTTATTTATATTCAGTAACAACAAACATTTAGAAATGACATTTTGATAAAAGATATATTTTAAATAGCACTGCATTTATCAATAACTAGAAATACAATTAGTGGAAAATGTGCAAGGCTTCCACACTGAAATTTATAAACATTACTGGCAGAAAAGACCAATTGAAATAAATACAGGGATAGACCATGTTCATGAACTTCAAAACTCAATATTGTAAAAATATCAATTCTCCGCCATGTCATTCTATATATTCAGTGTGAAACCAATCCAGGTACCACTTGGTATTTTTCCTCTCTTTGTTATCTTATGGATTCTGAGAAGTAAATATAGAACTACAATTAGGAAGACAAAGGGATATGCTTTTATAAATTTTATTTAACTAACGTATAGTTGTCGTTCTATATCAGGCACTGTTTTAAGTGCTTTACAAATGTAAACTCATTTAAGCCTTTTAACAACCTCATGAATTAGACATTATCATTATCTTTAATTTAGAGATAAGGATACTGAGGCACAGAGATGCTAAGTAACTTGCCTAAAATCACAAAGGTAGTTGACTGAACCCCGAAACTGTAATTCTGTTTTTAACCATCACACTGAAGTGAAGAGGAAGGAGAAGCAACTGGATCTTCTTCTGTTCTACTCTGATAAATTTGGAATATACTTTAACTAATGTCTAATTGTCACCTAGGTTTGTCTTTATATATTTACACACATACATATATTTATGTTATGCATGTTATACATGCACACACATATATTTTTAAAGAATGAAAATATCTATCAAGACTAAGAATATAGCCAGTAAGTTAGAAGTCCCCATGTGTGCCTATCCACCCCCATTTTCCTTTTATCATCTCATCTTCCTCCTTCAGGTAAGGATGATCCTGAAATTTGTATTAATGATTCCTTTTCCTTTCTTTGTAGTTTTAGCACCTATGTCTGTATCGCTAAACACATATGTTAAGCTGATTACAGAAATGATTCATAGTTTAGAAATTATTTTATGATTTATTCTTTTTGCTCAAAAGTATGCTTTTGATATTGGATTGGTATGATACATTTACCTGTAGATTTTTCATCAATTTTCAATGATGCATATGGCATTTATTTATCCATTCTACTGTTAATGGATTTCTGGGTAGATTCTCATTTTTGGTGTATATTTGTGTGACTATGTGAACCACGCATGAGCACATACCTGCACACATGCTGTTGCAAATGTTACCGTTATATGTATATTCTTTTTTAACATTTCATTTTTAATTGACAAATAATAATTATACATATTCATGGGGTACATAGTGATGTTTCAATACATGTAATATATAGTGATCAAATCAGGATAATTAGCATATTCATCATCTCAAACATTTAACATTTCTTTGTGTTGGTAATGTTCTTATATATATCTTCTTTGCAGGTTCAAAAATTTCTATAGGTTTTACATTTAGAAGTAGACTTTTTAGGCAGTATAATGTACAAACTACCAATATTTATTAGGTAATATCAAACATTTTTCCAAAGGGTTCTATCAATTTGAATTCCTATCAGAGGAGATTGAAGGGTCCCTTTGCACCACATCCTCACTGACACTCATACACCAGTAGTACATACCAACAATATTGACTAACTTTGTAGCGTTTGCCAATCTGGTGGTTTTATAATAGGTTCTCAATGTGGATTTAATTATCACTTTGCTTACTTCTAAAGAGCTTTAATATTTATAGAGATAATTATTAATAATTTTGATTTCCTCTTTTGTAAAATGTCTGCTTACTTCTTTAGTCCATTCTTCTACTGAGTGCTAGTATTTTCCTTAAGTTATATAAGTTTTTTACATATTTGGTAAATTAATCTTTTTGTTGTGGTGCTCATTATGTTGTTGAAATAACTTCTTCTGGGCTTGACATGTCTTTTCTTCTCTTTATAAATATTTTGATGAATAAAAAAGTGTTTATGCTAAGAATACAGACATGTTACCTTTCTTTTGGATAAAATTTACATGGTATGTATTTTTCCATTTTTTAGTTTTCAATCTGTCTCCTTATACTTTAAGTTAACACAGAACATGGCTGGCTTTTAAAAAATCTAATCCAAAAATCTTTTTCTTTTAACTGGAGAGTTTAGTCAATTTATGTGTATTATTATTTCTACAAACTTGCTTTCAGTATTACTACTTCCACAAACTTATTTTATGTTTTCTAGTTCTCTCCTTTTTGTGTACATTGTCCTATTTTAAAACAATAGATTTCAATAAATTCCCCATTCAATTCTTCATTTTTATTTGTTTAGAAAGTTTACCTGTGTTTATTCTTTTAGTGATTACTTTAGCTGTTTTAGAATGCATACTTTATTTGCCATCATTTAAATAATAATCTTTATCTTTCTTCAGATGATACCAAGTCCTTAGATATCAACACCTCTGACCATCTCTTCTTAGAATATGTGCCATTTTTTGCCCATTAGTCTACTCTTTTCATCGTTATGAATTAGGATTATTATAATTTTTATTCATTCAATATTTACTCATATATACTTAGTATGTACCTATATCTTTACTAACATTACCTCTGTAAGTCTCCTACCTTCCAGTTGCAATCATATTCCTTTTATGTGAAGCACTTCCTTTAGATTTTCCTTTAGTGAGTATATGTTATTGATAATTCTCTCACTTCTTTAAAAGACTTTCATTTTGACCAAATGCTAGCAAGATAATTTTCCTGCACTTGGAATTCTAGGTTAATAATTGTTATCTTTTAGTAGATTGAAGGTACTATTTTACGGTCTTATTGTTTTCATTGTTGCTGTTGAGAAGTCTGACATCAATTAAATTACCGGTAATTTAATAATGTGATTATTTTCTAGATGTTTTAAAAATCTTCCCTTTGTATTTGGAGTCCATAGTTTTATTATGGTATGCCTAGTTGTAATTATTTTTTTAATTTATTCTCCTTTGAATTATTTGGGATTACTGGATTTTAAGATTGGGCTCTTCAAAAATTCTGTTAAATTCAGGCTGCTATAACAAAATATCACAGACTGAGCAGCTTACAAAGAACAGAAATGTATTTTTCACCTTTTGGGAGGCAGGAAAATCCCTGATCAAGGCACCAGCAGATCTAATGTTTGGTGAGTACCCATGTTCTGATTTATAAATGGCCATCTTCAAGCTACAATCTCACATGGTGGAAACAGCAAAGATCTCCATGGGGCCTCTATTAAAAGGGCACTAATTCCATTCAGGAGGGCTCTGTCCTCATGACCTAATCACCTTCCAAAGGTTCACTTCCAAATGTCCTCACATTGGAGATTGGGTTCAACACATGAATTCTCAAAATACACCTGTCCCCCTTATCCTAGTACCAAGATCAAGACAGAAAAGTTTCCTTGCTATCTTCTTCTGTGACAGGACTTCTTTCTCATTCACCTTTATATAGGCTACAGTCCTTTGAAAATCCAGCTTTTTGTTGAGATCTCATATTAGCTTCCCTACATCTGGCCAGCCAGCTCTAAGTTTTAACTTCTGTTCTCTGTGCTTCAGGCAGCCTTCAAAGAAGAAACTCCAGGACACAAGAGTTCAACATAAACCCTCAGGATGAAAGCTAGACTGGGTGTCCACTAAACTCCCATGGGTCCCACTTTCACTTTATTGTGGTACTGTTTGGATTCCTTGTTGTGCGTGTGTGTGTGTGCTGGCCCCAAAGTGCATTTAAACAGATTTTTAGAAATATTTTTATCCAGCATCTTATTGTTTCAGTAAGAAGAGTTGTGCTCAGGGTAACTAATCCATCATACTAGTAAAAATGGAAGCCTCATCCTGTCTTCTTAGTGAGAGAACCTGGACCATAAATTGACATGTATAAAACATTTGCCTTAATGATTTAATTCAATGTGATTCATATGACTACCCCCCATAGCTCTCCCTAAAAACAGTCTTGTCTCCCACTCTCTTCTATCACAAGTACCAAAGATATCCTTTGATTCGTTATAATGACCATTGTTTTGCAGAATCCACTCACTTCGACAGAGGAAAGAGGAGGAGCTTTGCTGTCAGGCAAACCTTGTATCCTGGTACTACCATTTAGTGTCTGAAACAAACTTTTCCCACCTTAGACTAATCCATTGAAAGAGGTATTGTGGCTACATAGTAACACAGTAGTTGCTCACAAATTGCAGCAAATTGTGTAGCAGTAGGCTCTGCATTTGTTTATATATTTAAATATATCCTTTTTAAAGAACCAGACCAACAGTTCTTCTTCACTATTTATTGAGATTTAATAACTGAAGTTTAGTAACTCATTTTGTCTTCAGAACATTTCTGCTACTTGCCTGTTAATTTCACTTCATTGCCCAACATCTGTGTATAGAATAGGATGCTCTGATGGGATAGTTACGCTTTGAGGTTATATAATGTCTATCACAGGAGAAAGTTTGCTGTAATTTTGCCCTTTCCTTATCCTGTGTTAGCACACTGATGTCGGCAAGCAGATTCAGTTCCTTAGTCTACCACCAGATTTAGATCATAAGCCTGTATGACAAGAAGCATGCCTTGTATAACCAAAGAATGTGCTTATTATATATATGCCCAGTGGCATTGTACTAAGATTTATAAAATATGGTTTTACAACTCAATCTGCTAGGGGAAGTTATAGTCACACATATAAAATTATAGCTCCACATACACAATTATAAACTACTTAAGGTAGTTTATTTTTGGTTAATAATAAAGTACAGCACAGACTAAGGAATGTATGATAATGTTTGAAGCATAAAGACATAAATTAAGAGAGCCTTTTAAAAATCCTTGGGAATTAATAAGTAATTAGTTAACTCACTTTTGAAGTATATGAGCAATAGTAAATAAATAAATAAATAAATTTGTTTATTTGGGAAAAGGTTCGGTGGGGGGGAAGGAAGACATAAAACAAACACAGGGATACTAATTAACCACTTAACAGTAGAAGGCATTTATGTACAATCGCTATAAGCCACCTCTGTTCAATTTCCAAGACATCACATTTAAGTGGAAGGCAACTTAAAACCATTTTATGATCATTCCATTTCAAAATGAAGAAACTGAGGACAAAAGAAGATTACTAGAAAAATGGTCTCAGAACCCTAATCTATCATTCAAGTTCCAAAATTGTAAGACAGAAAATCTTATTAAAATTTTATTGACATACTGGTCAATGAACTAAAATGTATTCTGGAGCTCATTTGTTTTTGTCTTTTTTGTCTCTCCTACACATATTCACAAGAAATTCTTCATCAGTTTAAAGGAGAAAAGGCTACGATTTTAAAGAGTGGTATGATATGAAGAGTCACTTTTCGTTTAAGTGTTCTATGCATTGATTATTTCAACAATAGCTAACACTCTTTTAATTCATCTTAGAAGACTCTTCCTACTTAATTAAATACAATTAATGGTATAGTAACTCAGTCCATAATTTAAGGACATCTGAATGATAGCAGCGGAAAACTGATGTGAAAAAATTCAGTCCACTGATGGATACAGAATATATTTATGTTAGTTTCCCAACAATATATAACTTAATCCACAAAGAGAACTGGAATAATCATTGCATCAGCCACATGTAAATTTTATATTCTATGTCTAGGCAATCTTGTTGTTAAATATAGGAGAGATAAAGAAAAAACTCTTCACAACACTTGCAGTACTTGGCTTATTACATGCTGCATCTATGCAAAGAGGAGCCATTGTCCTGTCACTTCCTGCACACCTCCAGGAGAGTCTTTCTTGACTTGAGGACATCCCTAAGCGTTTTCACATTCTGATATACCAATATCATATAGATCTGAGGACTTGATCCAAATTATTCTCTACTAGTGGAATTAAATTCTCAAGTTTATGACGTTGAGTAGAAATTGCGGAAAAGAAATAAAATAGCTTTTTCACTTCACTATCATTTCTTGTGAAATCATTTCAGAGACATTAATGTCTCCTGCTTTGCTCTCGAAGCAAAAGCAATTTTTAAAAATGTCTCAGCACAAACATATACTCACACACAGAGAGTTTTGAACTTTCATCTGTTTCAAAAGAAACATCACAGGGGTGGCACAATCACTAAACATTTTGGTGGGTGGACAAATGTTACTTTTAGGTTGGCTCCAAAAGTTATCCATGACCCCGCCCTTGCATTCTGGGTGGGCACAATCTAATCACATGAGGCCTTAAAGTGAAGAACTTTTCCTGGCAGTGCTCAGAGAGTGAAGGCAGTATGAGAAGGACACAACACTATCTCCCTGCTGGTTCTGAAATGTAGAAATTATGTGCAAAGACCTGCCAGAGGCCTCAGGAAGGTGAAAAAGGCAAAAAAATGGATTGCTCCCGTAAGCCTCCAAAAAGGCATACCGTCCTGTAAACATCTTGGTTGTAGCCCAGTGGGACACCTGTGTTGGAACTCCAACCTATAAAACCATAAGAAAAGCACATTTATGTTGTTTGAAGCCAATACGTTTTGTGGTAAATTGATATGGTAGCAATAGAAAACCAAAACAGTGCCTCATCCCCACAAAAACCTTGTGAGGGAGAGAAAACGGGTGATAGCTCCCTTTTTTAGTTGAGAGAATCAGTGCTGAAACAATCGACAGAACTTTTCAAAAGTCCATCTCCCAATAGGTTGTGGTGTTAGGCTGTAAAGTCTGCCTTCTAAGTCCAGATCTATTGTATTGCTCCTCAAACTCATCTCACTATGAAAGAGGTGTCGAGGCCACACGGATTTGTTTCAACTCCTCCCAAAATAGGTCATAAAACTTTTAAGACAACCAGACCATAAAACACAGATAGAGGGATAACTGAGTTATGAGTTGTGGAGGTAGGCTGGGCATAATCTCAGGTGTAAAAAATTATCTTGTTTTGGAGAAATGTCTAGAGACCCAGTGTTGCTGGCCCCTTCAAGAAGATTTGGGGAGGTCACTGATGCTGATGTGAGTCAAGTTGGGTGATACTGAATGGCATGATGACCAATATGATATATGCAATAGACAATGGAGAGACATCAATGTCTTTTGAACAAGAATGAGGTTGATCAGACATGTGCATTTAAATGATCAACCTAGTGGCACTGTGGGGGAAAGAACTGCAGTAAGAATGGACTATAAATAAGAATCCCCGAAACCATTGAAACACTATCTTATTAGTTCCCTTAGCTGCAATAATAACAGAAACTATGGTTAAAACAGAGAAAAATGCCAGTTTTGAGACACTAAAAACAAAAACCGCTTTGAGGAGGGGTGCTGAATGTAAAATACTGGGAAGAAATGACATTTCATCATCTGAAACTACATTTCATAATCTGAAACTTCTTTTGTGAGCATATACCAGGTACTCTGTTAAGAAGCTTATATATATTTTATCAATAGTTAACATTCAGTAAGCACCATGTCTTGGTTCCACTTTAAGCAACTTATGCGTATCATGTCATATTTGCCTTATAACAAATTTATAACATACATACTCTTAATATGCCCCTTTCACAGATTTGATACTGAAGTATAGAAAGGATGTGATGCATGTGAAAGATAACAAATCTATTAAATTAACAAAGTCTAGATTCAAACTCAGAGCTATCTGAGCTGAAAGTCCCAACAATTAAACTATAGAATGTTCGTCCAACTCCTGACACAATGATATATTCCAGTTTGGTAAAAGCTTCTAATTTCAGAGAAAGTTAATTTTATTTTTCTGAATATCAGTTACTGAAGCACTGATATTTTTTACTCTGGTTAATCTGCATCTGGGGGCAATATAAGTTCAAGCTGAAGAGTAATCAACATTTTTTTTCTTAGCAAATGAAAATAGTCTAGTAACCTGTAGTAGCTAAACTACAAGATTTGAAGCTAATGAAACCATAAATATATATATAACACTCCTGTGGATTCCAAATTCTATGCTAAATTAAGTCAAAATGCTAAAATTATGGAATTGGCATAAATTGCCAAATATTATTTCTCCCAGAGTAGGATTCTTTAAATATTCACTAAGCTGCTGAGTATCTTTTGAATCAAAGAACATTTACGATACACTGAAGTGCTAAAATGTGATGTGTATGAGCTAAAGTAATAAACCAGATGGATTAAATGTCTCTCAAAATACTATCTGGTTTAAGAGATATGGAGAACACACTTAGGTGAAAAAAGAACATAGGAAAATGTCACTAGGGTTGGCCAAGCGCAAACACCTGAGAAATAGCTAGAGACATGTTCCCAAACTAAAAATGCACCAGCTTATCTCTCTCTAATTAATGCACCAAGGAAACAGAACTTCAATTAAACTATACTTTGAGGATGGAGCCAACATGCACTAGGAATATATATAAGTGGCTGAGTTGTGGATTAAAAAATACTGAGCAAAATTTCTAGACAAATGAAAATATTTTTGAGATAACCATGGTAAGCTCAGAAACTAATGGAAATTATCTTCCACTAGTGAAAATATATTTTAGTATTCCTTCTCTACCCTCCAAAATTTACTACATATATTATCCTTAATTCAACAAGGTATTTATTTATTTATTTATTTAGAGTTAAGTATCCTGTAAAGTGTCAAGGAAACAACAGAAAACAAAAGTAAGAAGGTTCTAGTCCTTACGGTGCTTAAGTTTTTGTGTTTGAGGGGCAACATGGTAAATTGTTAGAATGCTCCTGATTTACTTTAGTGGAGTGGTGGTGGATACCCGTTTGTATTTTGGAAAGTTGAGTAATGTCTATTATTTAGGTATATCATCTCGGCTGAACTTTTAAATACAAAGAGCAGCAATAGTGGTAGATTGGTCGGCTGACTTAAGCTGTTTGACAAGCCATTCAGTTGTACCTGCAGATAAGATATCTTTTACATATACACCATGGAATACTATGCAGCCATAAAAAATGATGAGTTCATGTCCTTTGTAGGGACATGGATGAAACTGGAAATCATCATTCTCAGTAAACTATCGCAAGAACAAAAAACCAAACAATGCATATTCTCACTCATAGGTGGGAATTGAAAAATGAGATCACATGGACACAGGAAGGGGAACATCACACTCTGGGGACTGTTGTGGGGTGGGGGGAGGGGGGAGGGATAGCTTTGGGAGATATACCTAATGCTAGATGACGAGTTAGTGGGTGCAGCGCACCAGCATGGCACATGTATACATATGTAACTAACCTGCACAATGTGCACATGTACCCTAAAACTTAAAGTATAATAAAAAAAAAGAACTAATTAAATTATTAAAAAAAAAAGATATCTTTTACAGAAAGAAATCATTTCTATTGGCTAGGTAGTTGATTTTTCTCAAGGAAACTGATGTGAATGCCTCCATAGCCATGAAAATAAAGAAGATTCCAATAAACAAAAGGCTCAAATTATTGTCATTATAAACAACAAGATATACAAAAGACTCATAATATTTTGGGAAATTAATAATAATTTGAGAACAAAATTTGACATGTGATTGTAATATTTCCTGTATATAACGTGGTCACTTTGTGGACAACATCTACTATAGATAAGAAAAGTAGTGACAGTCAAATTAGAGTTGCTGAAAACTTCAGCTTATCCAATGATCTAGGATTCTGATGTTTGGTAGCAGAGAAAGTGCAGGGAAAACCAAATAAATACTGAGGAATCATACAGTTTTCCACACATAATTACTACAAAACCATAGGTACATTTATGGAAGGCCATAGTTACCAACAATCTTGGTGATTTGAAGATCCATATGGATGACATTTCCAATACATTGGCTGCCAAATTCCTCAAACTTCCCAGTTCCAGCATCTTCCTTCTTTTTTTTTTTCTTTCCTTTTTCTTTGAGACGGGGTCTTGTTCTGTCACCCAGGCTGGAGTACCGTGGCATGATCTCGGCTCACTGCAACCTCCACCTCCCAGATTCAAGTTATTCTCTTACCTCAGCCTGCCAAGTAGCTAGGACTACAGGCATGTGCTACTATGCTCAGCTAACTTTTGTGTTTTTAGTAGAGATGGAGTTTTCTTAGGTTGGACAGAGTGGTCTCCAACTCCTGGCCTCAAGTGTTACATCTGCCTGGGCCTCCCAAAGTGCTGGGATTACAGGAGTGACCCACTACACCCAGCCAACCAACATCTTCCTCTTCATCTTCCCCTCTTTACCTCCTGTTTCAGAACATGTCGTGATTGTTTTGAAACCTACTTCTGTCCTTCCACCTTTCTCAACAGATCTCTTATGACAAATCTGTGCTTTTACTCACTTTTATCTCCTTTTACTCCGCCCTTGGGTTTTTTTTTTTTTAATTATACTTTAAGTTCTGGGATACATGTGCAGAACCTGCAGGTATGTTACACAGGTGTACACATGCCATGGTGGTTCACTTCATCCATCATCCCGTCATCTGCATTAGGTATTTCTTCTAATGCTATCCCTCCCCTAGCCCCCCAGCCCCTGACATGCCCCCGTGTGAGATGTTCCCCTCCCTGTGTCCATGCGTTCTCATTGTTCAACTCCCACTTATGAGTGAGAACATGCAGTGTTTAGTTTTCTGTTCCTGTGTTAGTTTGCCGGAATGGTTTCCAGTTTAATCCATGTCCCTGCAAAGGACACGAACTCATCCTTTTTTATGGCTGCATAGTATTCCATGGTGTATACGTCCACATTTTCTTAATCCAGTCTAGCATTGATGGGCATCTGGGTTGGTTCCAAGTCTTTGGTATTGTGAATAGTGCTGCATAAACATATGTGTGCATGTGTCTTTATAGTAGAATGATTTATAATCCTTTGGGTATATATCCAGTAATGGGATTGCTGGGTCAAATGGTATTTCTGGTTCTGGATCCTTGAGGAATCACCATACTGTCTTTCACAATGGTTGAACTAATTTACACTCCCACCAACAGCATAAAAGCATTCCTATTTCTCCACATCCTCTCCAGCATCTGTTGTTTCCTGATTTTTTAATGATCACCATTCTAACTTGCATGAGATGGTATCTCATTGGGGTTTTGATTTGCATTTCTCTAATGACCAGTGATGATGAGCTTCTTTTCATATGTTTGTTGGCCGTATAAATGTCTTCTTTTGAGAAGTGTCTGTTCATATGCTTTGGCCACTTTTTGATGGGGCTGTTTTTTTCTTGTAAATTTGTTTAACTTCCTTGTAGATTGTGGATATTAGCTCTTTGTCAGATGGATAGTTTGCAAACATTTTCTCCCATTTTGTAGGCTGAATGTTCACTCTGTTGATAGTTTCTTTTGCTGTGCATAAGCTCTTTAATTAGACCCCATTTGTCAATTTTGACTTTTGTTGCCATTGCTTTTGGTGTTTTAGTCATGAAGTCTTTGCCCATGCCTATGTCCTGAATGGTATTGCCTAGGTTTTCTTCTAGGGTTTTTATGGTTTTAGGTCTTATGTTCAGGTCTTTAATCCATCTTGAGTTAATTTTTGTATAAGGTGTAAGGAAGGGGTCCAGTTTCAGTTTTCTGTCATATACATTTTCATTTTTATTATGATAGTACTTTTAAAAAAAATATATTAAATAGATTTTACAAGGAAAGGGTCTAACAGTGGAGGGATTTATAGTAATTTCTCCAGTAGAAAGCTTTTCTCAATTATAGGAAACACGAGAATGAAAAAACAAGGGTGCATATGGCTAGCCAGTTTTCCCAACACCATTTATTAAACAGGGAATCCTTTCCCGTTGCTTGTTTTTGTCAGGTTTTTCGAAGATCAGATGGTTGTAGATGTGTGGCATTATTTCTGAGGCCTCTGTTCTGTTTCACTGGTCTATATATCTGTTTTGGTACCAGTAGCATGCTGTTTTGGTTACTGTTGCCTTATATTATAGTTTGAAGTCAGGTAGCGTGATGCCTCCAGCTTTGTTCTTTTTGCTTAGGATTGTCTTGGCTATATGGGCTCTTTTTTGGTTCCAGATGAAATTTAAAGTAGTTTTTTCTAATTCTGTGAAGAAAGTCAATGGTAGCTTGATGGGAATAGCATTGAATCTATAAATTACTTTGGACAGTATGGCCATTTTCACGATATTGATTTTTCCTAGTCATGAGCATGGAATGTTTTTCCATTTGTTTGTATCCTCTCTTATTTCCTTGAGCAGTGGTTTATAGTTCTCCTTGAAGTGGTCCTTTACATTCCTTGTAAGTTGTATTTCTAGGTATTTTATTATCTTTGTAGCAATTGTGAATGAGAGTTCTCTCATGATTTGGCTCTCTGTTTTTCTATTATTGGTGTATAGGAATGCTTGTCATTTTTGCACATTGATTTTGTATCCTGAGACTTTGCTGAAGCTGCTTATCAGCTTAAAGAGATTTTGGGCTGAGACGATGGGGTTTTCTAAATAGACAATCATGTCATCTGCAAACAGAGGCAATTTGACTCCCTCTCTTCCTATTTGAATACCATTTATTTCTTTATCTTGCCTGATTACCCCAGCCAGAACTTCCAACTATGTTGAATAGGAGTGGTGAGAGAGGGTATCCCTGTCTTGTGCTGGTTTTCATATGGAATGCTTACAGCTTTTGCCCATTCAATATGATACTGGCTGTGGGATTGTCATAAATAGCTCATTATTTTGAGATACATTCCATCAATACCTAGTTTATTGAGAGTTTTTAGCATGAAGGGGTGTTTAATTTTTTTGAAGGCCTTTTCTGCATCTATTGAGATAATCATGTGCTTTTTGTCATTGGTTCTGTTTATGTGATGGATTATGTTTATTGATTAGTGTATGTTGAACCAGCCTCACATCCCAGGGATGAAGCTGACTTGATCATGGTGGGTAAGCTTTTTGATGTGCTGCTGGATTTGGTTTGCCAGTATTTTATTGAGGATTTTTGCACTGATGATCATCAGGGATATTGGCTTGAAATTTTCTTTTTTTGTTGTGTCTCTACCGGGTTTTGATATCAGGATAATGCTGGCCTCATAAAATGAGTTAGGGAGGAGTCTCTGTTTTTCTAATGTTTGGAATAGTTTCAGAAGGAATGGTACCAGCTTCTCTTTGTACCTCTGGTAGAATTTGGCTGTGAATCTGTCTGGTCCAGTGCTTTTTTTGGTTAATAGGCTATTAATTACTGCCTCAATTTTAGAACTTGTTATTGGTCTATTTAGGGATTTGACTTCTTCCTGGTTTAATCTTGGGAGGGTGTATGTGTCCAGGAATTTATCCATTTCTTCTAGATTTTCTAGTTTATTTGCATAGAGTTGTTTACAGTATTCTCTGATGGTAGTTTGTATTTCTATGGGATCAGTAGTGATATCCCCTTTATCATTTTTTATTGTGCCTATTTGATTCTTCTTTCTTTTCTTCTTTATTAGTCTGGCTAGTGGTCTATCTATTTTTTCAATCCTTTCAAAAAACCAGCTCCTGGATTCATTGATTTTTTGAAGGTGTTTTCGTGTCTATATCTCTTTCAGTTCTGCTCTGATCTTAGTTATTTCTTGTTTTCTGCTAGCTTTTGAATTTGTTTGCCTTGCTGCTCTAGTTCTTTTAATTGTGATGGTAGGATGTCGATTTTAGATCTTTCCCGCTTTCTCCAGTGGGCATTTAGTGCTATAAATTTCCCTCTAAACACTGCTTTAACTGTGTCCCAGAGATTCTAGTACATTGTGTCTTTGTTCTCATTGGTTTCAAAGAACATCTTTATTTCTGCCTTAATTTCATTATTTACCCAGTAGTCATTCAGGAGCAGGTTGTTCAGTTTCCATGTAGTTGTGTGGTGTTGAGTGAGTTTCTTAATCCTGAGTTCTAATTTGATTGCACTGTGGTCTGAGAGACTGTTTTTTATGATTTTCGTTCTTTTTCATTTGCTGAAGAGTGTTTTACTTCCAATTATGTGGCCAATTTTAGAATAAGTGTGACGTGGTGCTGAGAAGAATGTATATTCTGTTAATTTGGGGAGGAGAGTTCTATAGATGTCTATTAGGTCTGCTTGGTTCAGAACTGAATTCAACTCCCGAATATCGCTGTTAATTTCCTGTCTCATTGATCTGTCTAATATTGACAGTGGGATCCTGCCACTATTATTGTGTGGGAGTCTAAGGCTCTTTGTACATCTCTAATAACTTGCTTTATGAATCTGGTTGCTCCTGTATTGGGTGCATATATATTTATGATAGTTCGCTCTTCCTGTTGCATTGATACTTTATCATTATGTAATGCCCTTCCTTTTTTTATCTTTGTTGGTTTAAAGTCTGTTTTATCAGAGACTAGGATTGCAACTCCTGCTTTTTTTTGTTTTTGCTTGGTAAATATTCCTCCATCCCTTTATTTTGAGCCTATGTGTGTCTTTGCATGTGAGATGGGTCTCCTAATACAGCACACCAATGGGTCTTGACTCTTTATACAATTTGCTAGTTGTGCATTTAGCCCATTTACATTTAAAGTTAATATTGTTATGTGTGAATTTGTTCCTGTCATTATGATGCTAGCTGGTTATTTTGCCAATTTGTTGATGCAGTTTCTTCATAGTGTCAACGGTCTTTACAATTTGGTATATTTTTGCAGTGGCTGGTCCCAGTTTTTCCTTTCCATATTTAGTGCTTCCTTCAGGAGCTCTTGTAAGGCAGGCCTGGTGGTGACAAAATATCTCAGCATTTGCTTGTCTCTAAAGGATTTTATTTCTCCTTTGCTTATGAAGCTTGGGCTGCACCCACTGTCTAACCAGTCCCAATGAGATGAGGTGGGTACCTTAGCTGCAAATGCAGAAATCACCCGCCTTCTGTGTTGATCTCGCTGGGAGCTGCAGACAGGAGCTGTTCCTATTCAGTCATCCTGTTTTCCAAGCTATATTTTAACTTCTATTGCTTTTATATTTAAAAACCTCCTTTTATATGTTAGCCTCTAAGAATGTGACTTCTATTTTTCCACAACATTTCAAAAATAGTGTATATTACTGGCTCCCACATTTCCTACTTGTCTGAAATCCTTCAACCTATTTTAGCCTTGTTTCTCTTTTTCCTACTTTATTAAAATAGCTTTCATGAAAGCAGCCAAGAACATTAAAAAGTATAAGATTATATATTTTTAATGTTTCTTTTATTCTTAATTCAAAACTTTCATCTTGAAAGCTCCCGTCTCTCAATTTTGTCTCACATATTTCCAGGATTCCCTTTTCGCTATTCCTGCTCCTTCCTGTTTTTCTTCCCCCCTGGCTAACCTTTATCCATCTACCCCCTCAGATGTCAGAAAAATGATGAGGTGGTGCTGAACTCCCAACCCTTTTTTCCCTACTCTATCATTTGTTCTGTTTTATCTTATTCCACAGCTTCAACTCTCACTTCTTTGAAAATGACTTTCCTAAATAAGTCTCTGCATCGTGTTAGTTCTCTTGTGCTATACATTTAATTATCCTCTGACCACATCTTATGGATGCCCTCATGACACCTCAAAAACCCCTCCACTCAAAGAAATCACATCATCTTTCTATCATCTTTCTCCTCAGTGTAACTGCTCTTCTGTGCTCCCTATCATAGCATTACCTTTCAGTTGGTTATCAAGCTGAAAATACCAGGGTTATCTAAGAATCCTCTTCTTGCCTCATACATTCAAGATATTGCTATACTGGACATCAAGGACCATAATGCTTAATGCATTTTACTACACTTTCCTAGTATTTTTATTTCCTTTCTTCACTCACTCCTGTTTCTGAGGAAGAATATTCTTACTACCTTGTGAATGCTATACTTCACTGGAAAGCTGTTCTTAAAATACATACACATACCAACACACAAATACACAAATCATTCACACTAATCTTCTTGAGTACAGTTCTTTCAATTATACTTTCTCTCACTAACACTTTGTTAATTTCTTGTCCTATCATTCCTTTGTATAACAAAATTAAACAAAAGAGAAATGCTTTCTATTGCCCCTGCTTACTAACTAGCCACTCATTTCTTGATAAATTCCAGATCCTCTGTTTCAGGCTCTCTCTCTCAAAAAAAACAAAAACAAAAACAACAAAAAAAAGTTATCCCTAGAGCCATTACTGGCTTCCAGAACAGTATTATCTAACTTTTCCAAGTCCCTCCTTCCTCAATTGTTCTGTGGTAGTTCACGTTGCCAGTTATATGCAAGTTTCCTAAATTCTATGACCTATTTCCACAATATGCACTCACCTGCTGATTCTACTAGATTTATATCTGCTTCTTTACAGACTATTCTTTCCTATTTTCTGATGTCGGTATTGTCAGAGTTCACACATTTGAACTTTTGTCTTTCCATAGTATGTCTCAATGATCGTCGGTTCCCTTGATTAAACTAGAATACTTATGTGAATTATCCAGAATCTTAATTTTCCTTGATCCCACACACCCAACTTCTTGCCAAAACTGAAGAATTCAATGTGTGCAATATTTTATATGTTCCTTTTTTTACATTGCATTTTCAGTGCCACAACCTGTCTTTCTCCACATCAGAGGAATCTTTTAAAAGCACTCTTCTCTTAACATCTTATTAATCTTTTCCAATACCTTTAGTGTCTTCCTATTGTTTACCAAACTAAAGACAGGTTTTTCTTCTTCTCCCTAGTGTTCAAAATCTCTCAAAACCTTTCACATGGAAGCATCTATGTTTACCACCATCCGAGTTGCCTTTTATACTAGCCCTGCCCAAACCAGATTGTTAAAATACAGTTGCCTTAGACAAAACCAAGGAATCTGGATATTTAATAAGCTTTCCAGATGATCACTCTGAGCATTCAGATTTGGGAAACATTGACACATAGTTTAACTCCAATTTACTGTTCTGGCCTCATTTGCATTATTTCTTTATTCACATCCTTCATTCTAGAAACATTTTTAGACCTACAGATCATTGAAAAATTCAGTGCTATCCATACTCAATATCATCACTCATATTGTTCCCACAACTTGGACCATCCTCTGCCCTTTCTACAGCGATGCCACTTCCATCAATATTACAATGCCTTCCTCAAGTGTATGGGCTCCGACCCACACGTGACCTCTGCTTGTTTTGACTTTGAGAGAATACATGTTCCATTGTCATTGCATTCATTGTACACTCCTTTTGATTACAGCACAATCTATATTTTAATTCTTTCATGCTACATTATAAGCTTCTTAAAAAAGACATATACTTTATTACATATCACATAGCATACTGCCTTGTTTACATTATTTAATAATTGTTGAGAAAAATGGATTTAATAGAGTTAACCCATTCACTCAGATAGTCACTTAAATTTAAACATATTAAAATATAGTCTTTACTAGATGTTATCCAAGAATGCCACTCAAGACCTCAGTGAGAGGAAAAGGACAGCAATTTCCCTAGAAACATTTTATAACTACATATTTTCTGCCTCTGTTATGGTTTTTAAACTTTACTGCATTATAATGGCACAGAACAGGCTATATAAAAAGAATCATGAAAAATTAAATAGAAAAAAAAATAAAAACTAGGCCAGGTGCAGTGGCTCACTCATGGAATCTGAGCACTTTGGGAGGCTGAGATGGGCGGATCATGAGGTCAGGAGTTTGAGAACAGCCTGGCCAACATGGTGAAACCCTGTCTCTACTAAAAATACAAAAACTAGCTGGGAGTGGTCACGGGTGCCTGTAATCCCAGCTACTTGGGAGGCTGAGGCAGGAGAATCGCTTGAACCTGGGAGGCAGAGGTTGCAGTGAGCTAAGACCGCACCATTGCACTCCAGTCTGGGTGACAGAGTGAGACTCTGTCTCAGGAAAAAAAAAAACAACAAAAAAACAAAAACAAAACTAAAATTTTACTCCAAAACTCACCATTTCCATCAAAAATATATATTTTCCCTCATATGCAAAATTTAAAGCTGCAGCTCTCCATCTGTCATAAGTTATGTTCCTTATTAGTATTATAATCTTACTTTCATAATGAATACCACCAAAATCTAAACTTTACAAAACTATTAATAAAATGAAGTGATGTTGTCTTTAATGCATTCAGCAATTCAATAAATAGGATGTATACCATCTTCTTTATGTTTATTACTCTGTATGGAGACATGAATTCAGATTATTGTAAAGCTTTTGGAAGGTAAGATGTTTTCCATAGAAAAGGGGTGAAATTCTAAGCCAGAATTCAGCTTTCATATGGAATAAACAAATGTACTTTTTCCAAAAAGTGAAGATAGATGAAGCACATGGTTTTGACCTTCAAGATCTGTAAACCTCCATAAGCTAAAGTATACTTATTTTTATTGGTGTGTAGATGAAAAGAAGTAAGTGAAGATTATAGAACAAATCATACTCTGTCCTTTAAGCTTTGGCCAGAAAGTAGGAGACAGATGGAAAATTCCATTGTGTGCTTTCTCTGCCACCTGTCACCATCTGAATGGTAGCCAGCATTACAACTATACCTTATTAAGTTGCTTGATGGAAAAATTGGCACTACTAGGGGAACTACTGTTCTTGAAGTTAATGAAACTTATAGCTTAGAAGAAGTATAAAAATACACACTGCACTTGGGAGGAAAACTTCGCACTATTCATTTAATCAACAAAGTATCGATACAACTTTTTTGTTAGTTTTAGAATATTATTTAGAATCTGTGGGAGGCTACTGAGCTGATTGTGCAGTTAGTAAATCCTACATGGCCAGATCCTACATAAGCTTAAAATCCCAAGTAGACAACACCGATGGAGGATGAAGAAAAATATGTAATAAAATTGAACATAAAGTATGTTAATGGATAATATTTTATCAGTACATACAGAGACAAGCATTAAATCCTATATAGTATGGTGGTTGTAATCCTAGGACCATGATGGGCAATTGGCTAAATAGGAAGAGATAAATAAGAATATGGTTTCTATATTTATAAAGAGCATATTGTATGCATACTAGAATTTAGCACTTGAAAATGTGCCCTAATTGAGCTCCCTAGTGGTTTCACTTGGAATTATTCTTTTCTCCCTACTGGACACCACCAATAAGGTCTTTTACAGTGTGTTTAAGGTACAACTAGCATAGTGTGGGATCCAAATGGATTATTCATAAAGTTTATGTTGAATTAGATTATTTTCCTGGAAATGACTGTGAAAGAAATAGTATTTTAGGAAAAATTGCATAAATGGAGGAAGAAATAAAATTTTAGGAACTGTAGCATTGAAGTGTCATGTTCAGATTCAATGATGCTTTAGAGACAAAAATGGTAAGACAATCTTGATGCTGAAAAGTAAGTCTGCAAAGACTTCCAAGAGTAAATAACTAGACAACAGAAAGAGCTGGAAAGTGAGAGAATTGGGGTGCCTTGATAAATGTCTGAGGTACATAGATCCAAGGACTAAATTTCAGGATAATTTTGAAGAAGGGAATGATCTACAAAGCCTACAGCATAGACGAGCAGGTGGATAATATTGAGAACTAATCACTCAAAAGCAAACATGGGTTGATTACTAATGGGGGAAAACATTATAAAAACACAGATAAATGGTCATGCTATCTGTAAGATTTTGGAATGTTCGTATAGTATAGTGATCACACATAACCTAGCATATTGACAGGTAAGCTTTAGAAGATTTCATTCTTGTTACTGCAGAATTTTTGAAGAATCCCATTCTTTCTCTAGACATCACATGTTATGTAATGTCCCTAGTAGACATCACATAAAAATGAGTCACATATTACAAAGGTCCTGAAAGCATAAAGAAATACATCTATATGTCATCAATGTATAACATATCTTAAAGTTTGAAGAGTCAAGATGCCTTATGTGGGCACATTTTCACCATGTTTTCTTAAATGTGAGAGTGAATTTGAGGAAAGGAAGACAAGGAAAAGGACCAAGCATAATCCCAGCTCCCTTCCAAAGCCATGGAATGGGAAGATGGTTTGCAGACAAGATTTTAGTTATCTTGCTTTGGCAGCATCACTGTCACCATCAGGGCTCACCATAGGGAACTGAGCTGGGACACCTGGATACACAGGTGGGAAAGAGCAAAACTCACCAACTTGCTAAAGGGGCAAGCAATGGCGACAGCCAATTGCATTTCAATGCTAGTGCAGAAAATGTTATGATAGAATATAATTATGGTTTGTAAAGAATTATCAAGAAGTAAAATTCACATATAGAGTGAACTTCTGTTTTTTTTTTTCTCTAAAAGGTAACTTTGTCTTTTAAAATTAACCTAAGGAGATCATGTAGAGTATGAATATTACAATCCAATAGGCAATATATAATACAAAATTTTGATTGTTGTGGTAATATGATGGTAGCTCATAGGTCATCCAACTGTAGCCCAAATAATTATTTCTCAGGCCCAGACTGGTTCCCATTGTACCCCCAGCAACTCAGAATTCTCTCCTTTCCTACTGAAAGCTGCCACCAAGTCTATTTCCTATGTTTCCCTGCTCTGAGGAATCAGCATATAAGGGTTGCAATTACCTTGTTTTTACCGAATAACATAAGTTTTCATAAATTACTTACAAGGTTGGGGGGTTTATATGGCTTTTTACATTGGTGCAATGTAAAAAGTTTAGTTTAGAAGACTAACACAAGCACTGTGAGTAACAGAATATACTGGAAAATAGTTGTCCAAATCCCCTCAAACCAAGATCATTTTTTTTTTCCTCAAAAATAATGCCATTTTGCCAGTGATGGCAAATTGATGCAGATTGATGGTTCTATTGGGGCATATTTTACGTAAGCAAATTTGAGAGCAAAATACACAGATTCAATCAGGAAAGTGGGGGGATAACATAGAGACAGACTTAGATTAAAGATTTGTTTCTTGTCTTGGGTGTCACATAGTTTCTTTTGCATTGTGCCTCTGTTTCTCTCTAAGGATCTACTCACTTCTTTCAGTACAATTAGCTCATTTTTTCAATCGAATCTATATACTGTTCTTTACCTCAAAGATTCTGCTATTTATCATTTTTTATTCTTTAACATGTAGGCTCATCATGATCTTTCATGGCTTGTTCTCTGTCCAGGTTCTTCTCTCTCTGTTTCCTTTAATTTCAGTTCCTGCTAATTACTGTTTCATTCACTTGGCCTTTTCTAGTTCATCTAGCAAACCTTTTCTAATCAAGTAATTTTATAAGTTGCTGATCAATCCATAGATTAAACAGCCTTTAACTATTTGCCCAGTGAAGTCTAGTCAGTTTTACCCAGAGAATGAGCTGGGTCACAAGAAAGCTTAGAAAAGGCTGGGAAATTAGAATCCCCGTGGTTGGCATGCCTAGTGATAAGTTGAGAAATTAGGCAGAGAATGGGCAGAAAATATTTGAATGTCGACCGATTCTTAAAAAGTTTGTGAGATCTTGTGTAAGTCAGATGTGCCTACAAGAACGGAGTTTAAAATTCTGAATATCCAAAATGTTGTATTGTAATCACATATAAAGGTTAAAAGAAGAAGATAGAGAAGACAGGGTCTAATTAAGAAAAGAATAAATGTCTTTTCTATGTTTTTGAATATTCTTTTTAGATATATACTTATATGTGCAAGTATATATATATGTATATTTATATAAAGAAGTATATATCTAGAAAAAATGTACATAAATATTAGTCCATTTTCACACTGCTGAAAAAGACATACATGAGACTGGGAAGAAAAAGAGGTTTAATGAACTTACAGTTCCATATGGCTGGGGAGGCCTCGCAATCATGGCAGAAGGCAAGGTGGAGTAAAGTCAAGTCTTATGGTGGAAAGCAAAAAGAGAGCTTGTGCAGGGAAACTCCCATTTTTAAAACATCAGATTTCGTAAGACTTATTCACTATCACAAGAACAGCATGGGAAAGACCCACCCCATGATTCAATTATCTCCTACCAAGTCCCTCCCATGACACGTGGGAATTATGGGAGTACAATTCAAGATAAGATTTGGGTGGGGACACAGAACCAAACCATATAATTCCACCCCAGGTCCCTCCCAAATCTCATGTCTTTACATTTCAAAACCAATCATTCCTTCTCAACAGTCCCCCAAAGTCTTAATTCATTTCAGCATTAGCTCAAAAGTTGACAGTCTAAAGTCTTATCTGAGACAAGGAAAGTCCCTTCCTCCGCCTATGAGCCTGTAAAATCAAAAGCAAGTTAGTTACTTCCTAGATACAATGGGGATGCAGGCATTGGGTAAATACACCCATTCCAAATGGGAGATTGGTCAAAACAAAGGGGCTACAGGCCCCATGCAAGTCCAACATCCAGCAGGGCCATTAAATCTTAAAGCTCCAAAATGATTTCCTTTGACACCGTGTCTCACATCCAGGTCATGCTGATGCAAGAGGTGGGTTCCCACGGTCTTGGGTAGCTCTGCCCCTGCAGTTTTGCAGGGTATAGCCTCCCTCTCAGCTGCTTTCACTGTCTGGCATTGAGTGTCTGTGTCTTTTCCAGATGCAGAGCGCAAGCTGCCAGTGGATCTACCATTGTGGGGTCTGGAGGACAGTGGCCCCCTTCTCACAGCTCCACTAGGAGGTGCCCCAGTAGGGACTCTGTGTGGGGTCTCCAACCTTACATTTCCCTTCTACACTGCCCTAGAACAGGTTCTCCATGAGAGCCCTGCCCCTGCAGCAAACTTCTGCCTGAACATCCAGGCATTTCCAAACATCATCTGCCATCTAGGCAGAGATTCCCAAACTCCAATTCTTAACTTCGGTGCACCCGCATGAAGCTTCTGAGGACTGGGGCTTCCACCCTCTGAAGCAACAGCTGGAGCTGTATTTTGGCCCCTTGTAGTCATGACTGGAGTCGCTGGGACATAGGGCACCAAGTCCCTAGACTGCAAACAGCATTGGGACCCTGGGCCCATCCCATGAAACCATTTTTCCTTCCTAAACCTCTGGGCTGATGGCAGGGTCTGTTGGAAAAGGCTCTGACACGCCCTAAAGACATTTTCTCCATTGTCTTGGGTATTAACATTCAGCTGTTTATCACTTATGCAAATTTCTGCAGCTGGCTTGAATTTCTCAGAAAATGAGACTTGGTTTTCTATCACATTGTCAGGCTGCAAATTTTCCAAACTTTTATGCTCTGTTTCCCTTTTAAAACTGAATGCCTTTAACAGCACCCAAGTCACTTCTTAAATGCTTTGTTGCTTAGAAATTTCTTTCATCAGATACCCTAAATCATCTCTCTCAAGTTCAAAATTCCACAAATCTCTAGGGCAGGGGAAAAATGCTGCCAGTCTCTTTGCTAAAACATAGCAAGAGTGACCTTTGCTCCAGCTCTCAACAAGTTTCCCCATCTCCATCTGAGATCATCTCAGACTGTATTTCATTGACCATACCATCAGCATTTGGGTCAAAGCCATTCAATAAGTTTCTAGGGAGTTCCAAATTTTCCCACATTTTCCTGTCTTCTTCTGTGCCCTCTAAACTGTTCAACCTCTCCCTCTTACCCAGTTCCACAGTTGCTTCCACATTTTTGGATATCTTTTCAGCAATGCCCCACCCTACTGGTACCAATTTACTTTATTAGTCCATTTTTATGCTGCTGATAAAGACATACCTGAGACTGGGAAGAAAAAGAGATTTAACAGACTTAACAGTTCCACGTGGCTGGGAGGCCTCATAATCATGGCAGAAGGCAAAGAGGAGCAAGTCAAGTTTTACATGGATGGCAGCAGGCAAAAAGAGAGCCTGTGCAGGGAAACTCCCATTTTTAAAGCTATCAGATCTCACTATCATGAGAAGAGCATGGCAAAGACCCACTTCCATGGTTCAATTATCTCCCACCAGGTCCCTGCCACAACATATGGGAATTAAGGAAGTAGAATTCAAACTGAGATTTGGGTGGGGACACAGAGCCAAACCCTGTCTGTCTGTCTGTCTGTCTGTCTGTCTATCTATCTATCTATCTATCTATCTATCTATCTGTCTATCTATCTATCTATCTTTGAAAATACTTGGAAATATGTGAACATAATATATTACCAGAAAGTAAATTGTATGTTTTTTCACATTATGAGATAACTTCTTCCTGACATGTTTAGAATTAAGATTAGTGACTACAGATTGCCCTTCACATAGTCCATATATCTTCATGGCTAGGTCAAGTGAATCTTTAATTTGTTTGAAACTACTTAATACTTAGTAGCTACCTGCCACAGCCATTAAATTCATCTTTATATGTGAAGTTATTAACTTGTGTCACACTTGCATTCTCTCATTTATTTTATCTGGTACATTTCCTCCATCTTATTGGCCTATCAAAGAATTTCTGTCTTTAAATACTGTCATCTGAGCTAGGCTAGTGCAGAAAATAGATTGATGTATTCTGGATATCTTCCAATGACTACATATCTTTTCCTAACTTTGTATCTATCTTGACTTAGAAACACACCTTCAATTGTGCCATATTTATTAGTTGACTAACAGTATTATATGATCTCTCAGCTTAGAAAAGGTGGTACTTACTAGCATCTCTTTCCTTATGTTTTTGTGATAAAAAGATGGCCATGATAGAATGAATGCAATTAAAACATAGGCACTATGTTTTAAATTTCCTATTTCTATTGAAAGTATATCTGGTATACATTGCTTTGCATTGACAATTTTGAAGCACCATTTAACGTTAAAACTATTTCATTTTACATTAAAAATTGACTTCATTGAAACAGAAAAAGGGCTGGCAATAGACCTGTAGTAAAAACACAGAGAAATGGGTAAGAGACTTTCTTTCTAAATGCAAGAGGCTTACAAAGGACCTCAGCATAGACTGCAGCCAAGTGGGAGCCAGGTAATTGGCCACTACCATGGACAATGGTTAGTTTAATATATATTTTAGGTCTTGCTATGGACTAAGTTGTGTGTTCAATATATTCATGTGTTGAATCCCTAACCCCCAGTGTGATGGTATTTGAAGATGGGGCTTTGGAGAGATGTTAAAGTCAGTTTGGGCTGCTATAACAAAGTATAAGAGCCTGGATGCCTTACAAACAAGAGAATTTATTACTCACAGTTCCAGAGGCTGAAAGTCTGATGTCAGGGTGCCAGCCTGGCCAGGTTCTGGTGAGGGCCTTTTCCTTGGTTACAAACTGCTGACTTCTTGTTGTATACTCATATGGCAAAAAATAGCCAGCTAGCTCTTTGGTCTCTTCCTATAAGAGCACTAAGCCCATTTGGGAAGGCTTCACTTCCAAAACAGATTTGCTTCTCAAAGACCTCATCTCCAAATACCATCAAACTGAAGTTTAGGTTTCAACTTATGAATTTGGGGGAACCAAAAACATTCAGTCCATAACAGGCAGTAATTAGATCATAAGGGTGGAACTTTCATGATGAGTTTAGTACCTTTATAAGAAGAGATATGAGATCTCCCTCTCTCACTTGCTCTTGCTTTGCCACGTGAGAATATAGCAAGAAAGTGTTACTTTACAAGCCAGGAAGAGGGTCTTCACCAGAACCCAACCATGCTAGCACCCTGATTTCCAACTTTCCAGTCCCCAGAACTGTGTGAAATAAATGTCTGTTGTTTAAGCAACCCAGTCTATGGTATCTTGTTATAGCATCCCAAACTAAGACAGATCTTTTTTATTTTTCTCCCTTCACCAAAGGAATACTTGTGTGTTCCACATCCAGAAGGCCCATCTGCCCTCAGTTATGAGGCATTACCTTCTGTAAGCTAAGAAGTCATACCTGGGCCTGGGTTGATCTAATTAGAAATGGATTAGGAAAGGTTCATGGGAAACTGTCTATCCAAAATAATAAGTCCTTAATGAATGAAAAGCAGCTATTAATGAAACTTGCGGCATCTCTGGAAAATTGGATGGTTTATGCTTATTTATTAGAGGCAAAAATGCTCCCCAAATTTAAAATTATAACATTGAAATGAATACCACTCCTTTAATTTAAGAGTGTTTGAATCTGCAAATATTCTGCATGTTCTACAATAAAAAACAGATTAAAAGATAAAATACAAAGCTTAGAAAAACTCACAGGGACTGAATCCTTAGAGAATTACGCGTGAGTGTAAATGCCAACTTCAATATTAGAAGAGTTTTGCAAAACAGCAATGTTATAGCTCTACTTCCTTTTATATCATACCCATGAACCATTTCATAGAAAAAGCTTCAGCTACACAGGATCTCAAAGGAAGGGAAAGTCAGTCCATAATCCACATGTCTGTCAATCCACAATCCACAAATCCACAGTCCAAACCCCACATGAAAGGGATCCAAACAGAAATGTGTGATCAAGTCCCTCTAAGTGGCATAAATGCACTCAATAAGGAGGTTTGAGTTCAGGCCACTAGATTCAGAGTATTAGTAACTTTTTCTTTTTTTTTTTTGCCTCCAAGAGAGTAGCAATAGTGAATCTTCCAAACTTGAAGAAATTTCTTTCCAAGAGCAAATCGCACAAGAGTATAAATGTGTGGTTTCAGCAGCTTCACCTGTGAGATAGAGGTTATAAATACTCTATTTCTATTTCTTACAGGATTATTGGGAGAATTCAAAGAAATCTGTTAAGTGCTTTTCACAAAAAGATTCCTGTGTGTAAGTGCTAAATTCATCATAAGTAATGAACAATAAATAAAATTGAAATACTTCCCTAAACACCTCCTAAAATCTTATCTGACAGATTCATTTAGGTTACTGAAAACAATTCTTATTTTTAAAAGATGACACTGCACATTCTTGTGGTCAAAAAAGTAAAGAGATTGGCTCTTTGCCTTCCCAAAGTCTAGACTTTAATATAACTTTTTGTCAAAGAGAGAGATGTGGGAGCACTTCCAAGTCAAAAAATAATAATATAAAAATGAAGGAGAGGAGGGGGAGGAAGAGAAAATAATCAGAGTCTCAAAACAACATGGCCAAGATTTAAATTTGATCTTTAGGGCAACACTCTGCCTTTGACATTGGTGGTGATTCATTATCTGCTGTTAGTGATTCAACAATAGAAATGTTACAAGGGTAACATAGGTCTACAAAATCTGAGAAAAGAAATCTGAGGCAACAGCAAAAAGTTAGAACACTCGAGCAGGGGAAAAGCTTGTTTTAAAGAAACTGTGCTTCTTGAAAATATGTATATTATATAAACTTTATATACAAATAGGCAGATGCTGATGAGAAAGGATATCAAATTTCAGGGTACTTTTACAGCTTATCAATATATCCAAGCATAAGAAGTCTATCACTAGAAGACTGTCAACTATCGAGCTCACATAAAAGTAATTTTTTTTAAAAAACAGCCACTGACCTAACAGCTTACATAGGAAAAAAATACAAATTAAAGACTATTTCCAAGCTTTTTGTAGTAAAACATTCTACATCCACTGCAATTGACAGTGTCCATTCTCTCCTGTGACACTGGACTTAGGCTTTGATCTTTTCAATGATTTTAGTGGGGCTTTTCAAGTCTTCCAACATTTTATAGTAAACAGAAGGCCAAAAACATAACTGATGTCTCCCTATCTGTTGCTTTAATAAATGGCCTTTGCAAAAATGACCAGTGTACAAAGAGCAAAATAGACCCCCCTCATCATACTATATACCTCATGCCACTAGAGAAAAGAGCTTTGTTTTCATAATGATTTTCTGGATCCTATGACATATTCCGCCTTTGTCTCAGAGGTATTTGTGCATCTGGACAAAAAATTCTTCAACTGAAATGGAAAAGGAAACTCTACAAACTTGTAGAGGTTTATGTTTTTATAGGTATATTATACATATTTGAAAATAATCAATAAAAATAAGTGTTTCTCATATTTTTATATATTTATATGCATATTTTTCCATATTTAATTTTATTTTGAACACAATATTATGACTCTTGATAACGGTGCATGCTTTGCAATGTCATAACATTTCCAAATTACAAGTTATAAGAAGATGTAATGTACTTTCCAATCCTTAAGTCAGACTGGAGTTACCAATTCTGAAAGACTTCCTTTGAATTATAAAGGTATTTTAGAGAAATAAAAAAAAGTTCCAAATGGATTATTTTAGGAAATAAGAGCAGATAATTATGGTCAAGTAGGAAAGAAGCATTCTCATTATTTCAGACAAATGAGAATATCTTTGTATGAAACTTTTATAAGACATAGTATCATAAATGACTAGAAAAGAAAAATAGATATACAATAGATACAGCATTTAATTTTGCTACAATTTTATACTATCCTTGAAAATTACAATGGTCCATTGAAGTAAATTCATCAATTTTCTGTGGAAGCATTAATTAAGAGAAAATTTATCAAAACATAGAAACAGAAACATTTTTGTTGAATATCTTATTATTTCATCTTTATTTTTTATGAGTAGACAGCTCTGAAAACAAAGCAATCTATATTGAAACTCAATAAACATCTCTAGAATGAAAGAATGAATGATTCTATACCTGCAGCTACAGGATATGTATCTTAACCTGGAGGGCAAGTTTTCACTTTTTAGTTACCTTGGGGCCCACTGTAGTACTTGACTGTAATACTTGACTGGATATAATAAGAGAAATAGCTTATACTCCCAAGTCAGCTTTCATTCCTGTTCAATAAATAGCCACATCCTAAATTACTACACCCAGTCGTCATGAGCACTAAAAATGAATTGTTGAATCCTCAATATCCAGAACAGTTTCAAGGTCTGTGGAATTTTAGAAAAGTGGAAAACATATCACTTATATTAATGCCTGTGACCCATGTATTAAGGAAACAATTTTCACATAATGTGAAAAGATCAAGATTTCTTAAAACCTTTTTATGACAAAGGAATTAAATAACCATCTCTTAGTTATATTTATTCAGGGCTAAAAGGGAGGCATCTCTCTTTCAGAAGAAGACTGCTTAAAATGCTGGGCATCAATCAGAACTGTAATGATTTTTGTCCAGAACAGTATTTCCCAAGTAGATGATGTATCTAGGCTATTTCTGGGGAGCTACAGTTTGCTTACCAGCATCTAGAAACAACACAAGAAAGGGAAATCATCTAATTCTTAGAGGATGTGAATGTCTTAGGCTACCTAAACGGTGTCTCAAAAAGGCACAAAACAGCTTTTGTTAATCAATATGTTATTCATTTGAAGTAATTAACCATGGCCTTTTAGTTCTATAAATGAAGCTGGTAATAAACCAAACATCATAATTATACCAAATCATAGTCACACTTCAAAGGAATAATCAGGAGTCTCTCCTTCAAAACATAAATACAAATATATATGTATGTGTGTATGTGCACGCATATGTGAATGCATGAAAATATGTGCATACTGTACGTAAATTAATATGAATGTAAATGTATGCAGAATATGTAGTCATGTACATATGTCTATGCACACATCCCCCCCATACACAGAAGTATCAGTTGTCATCTTGTTCTTGACTCTGAGAGATTGTAATATCAATTAAAAACAAACTTCGAAATCCCACATTCCTTAAGTTGTAGATTAATATCCAAATTAGACTAACAAACTACACCCTGTCCATGCACCATCTCATTTTAAACATTTTCACTCTGCATTCTTTTCTGGATATGATTACACACAGGCAGTAAATTCTCTCATTTTGTATTACTATGCAGATCTCTATATTTTCATTGTCTTTGTCATGTAGCAATAGGTGGTAACTATCTCAAGTAGGCAGATGACTCACTGGAAGCAAATGTTCTAACTAACTCTCAATAGGGAAGAATGTCTAAATGGAACATAGAAAATAAAGTAGGATTGAGTTCAATTATTCCAACACAAGTTGACAAAATAAACAAATCAAGAAAATGAAGTTAACTTTACATCTTGTATAGAATCTTCAAACTGGCAAAAATGGAGATTTTAAGTCTCTTTATCAGTGACTATCAAGGGCTTAAGTGGGATTAAATCACAGAAAGATGCTTAATGGAATTCTTGCAATGCCTCTACAATAGCAGTGTCTTGTATAAATACTAGAACAAAAACAGAGTCCAGGAAGGGTGAGGAAAAGACACCCAATGGTAGAAACCCTAGGTACCCTAGATTTGATTGCCTTTCCCTTATTCTGGGACTCTGCTTCAGAATTCTTCCCCTCTTCCCGGCATCATCAATTATTTTCCTATTCATTGGATCTTTCCATTAGCATACAAACATGCCTTATTTCTCTTCCCAAAAGGAAAAAAAAAAGTTTATTCTTGCCTCTGTCTCCGTCTTCAGTTACAGCTTCATTGGTCTCTTCCACTTTTTTTTTTTTTTTTTTTTTTTTTTGAGATGGAGTCTCACACTGTCGCCCAGGCTGGAGTACAGTGGCGCAATCTCCACTCATTGCAACCTCCACCTCCCGGGTCGAAATGATTCTCCTGCCTCAGCCTCCCAAGTAGCTGGGATTACAGGTGCCCGCCACCATGCCCGGCTAATTTTTTGTATTTTCAGTAGAGACAGGGTTTCACCATGTTGGCCAGGCTGGTCTTGAACTCCTGACCTTGTGATCTGCCTGCCTTGGGGTCTCTTTCTCTTTAAAGCAAAATTTCTCAAAATTGTCTCACTCACTCTCTCCAGTTCTGTTCTTTCTAATATCATCTGAACTTACAGTATGAATTAGGATTTCACAAGTGTTCTTGTCCTTGTCTTCAATGATGCCACATAGCCAAATGATTAATACTTGGTCCATGTTCTACATGACTTAGCAGCAAGAGACGCATTGATTCTCCGCCATGCAACACATTTTTCACCTGGCTTTCAGTATTCCTTACTTATGTGGCCTCTTTCCACCTCACTGGCCTCTCCTCCTCAGTCTTTTCTGCTGGTTCTACCTTATCAACTTGGGAGTGACCAGAGTTCTGTTCTGGGTGATATCACCTGACTGCCAGGTTTGGGCATATGGTCTTATTGTTTCCTTTGCCTATAAACACTTTTCTCTTAGGTGTTTACTTGCCTCATTCCCTTTCTTCTTTTAGAGTTTTCCAAAAATCTCTCCTTCTCCATTAGGCATTTCCTGACTACTCTATTTTAAATTGCATCCAACCTACCAATGCTCCCAACCCTGTACTGTTTTACTTTTCTTTAGCATTAATTACCACATGACACACTCTCTATTATTTATATCTTTATGTAAATTTATTTACTTCTGTATTTAATTTGGTTAGTTCTTCAGCCAGTGATTTAATACATTTTAGTTTGTTCATTTATTATTTTTCCCAAACCTCAGTGTAATCTCTGTGAGGGCAACAACATTTCTTTCCTTTTCTTGACTGACACAACTGATGTTTCTTGGTAAGAAATTCACCCCTTAACATCCAGTTGTCTTTGCTTTTTCCTGTTACATCATAACACAGATTTTCTATCAGGTTTACTCCAGATTCCTGGATTCACATTATCTATCACCAGCTGCCTATCCAGATCATCCTTTACGGGATAGGTAGAAGGTGAAAATATTTAATGGTAATCTAGAAGGCAAGATCTAGTCTTCCTTCCAGACTTATCAGAGTGAAAAAGAACAAATGTTGCTCAAGAAGATATTAATTTCTCAATGAAAAGCCATTTTGTGATAGAAAGATAATATTCAACAGACAAGTAACCTCAGTTGATCCATGCAAACTAGAGCGAACACTCATTCTTCCTAACTCTGAAAATCTAGTGAATTTTAAATAAGTATAGTGGCATTTTTCTAATACATCTTTTTTTCAAAACAAATTCTTCCTCATGCATGTTTTACCAGAACAGAGCAAGGATAAGGTTGGAAGCATGATTCCAGATGGTTATGGCCTCTACATGTATGGAATTGGGGTTCATGAAATTCTGAGCTCCATCTTTAGCATCATTTCTGGCCCTTTA
The DNA here is from genome assembly GCF_000001405.40 of Homo sapiens. Lineage (NCBI taxonomy): Eukaryota > Metazoa > Chordata > Mammalia > Primates > Hominidae > Homo > Homo sapiens. The sequence continues at coordinate 124,221,646 of NC_000006.12, read as the reverse complement.
TTCTAGTCTGCTTTGCTGGGTAACAACAACTCTTACTGGTAACATTCTACCTTAATTATCGTTTTATTTCTTTTTTTTCTCTCTCTTATTATTATACTTTAAGTTTTAGGGCACATGTGCACATTGTGCAGGTTAGTTACATATGTATACATGTGCCACGCTGGTGCGCTGCACCCACTAACTTGTCATCTAGCATTAGGTATATCTCCCAATGCTATCCCTCCCCCCTCCCCTCACCCCACAACAGTCCCCAGAGTGTGATGTTCCCCTCCCTGTGTCCATGTGTTCTCATTGTTCAATTCCCACCTATGAGTGAGAATATGTGGTGTTTGGTTTTTTGTTCTTGTGATAGTTTACTGAGAATGATGATTTCCAATTTCATCCATGTCCCTACAAAGTACATGAACTCATCCTTTTTTATGGCTGCATAGTATTCCATGGTGTATATGTGCCACATTTTCTTAATCCAGTCTATCATTGTTGGACATTTGGGTTGGTTCCAAGTCTTTGCTATTGTGAATAGTGCCGCAATAAACATACGTGTGCATGTGTCTTTATAGCAGCATGATTTACAGTCCTTTGGGTATTTCAAAGCTGATTTTCTCCTCAGTAAAGTTTCTCACCTTAGCACTTTGTTGGATTCACACCAAGTTATAATTTCTTGAAAAAAATCTGTGTTAACTGCTTTAGTTTCTCAATGTTTAAAATTATTTCTTTTATATAGAGCAGCCAGATTTTGAATCTAAATACGTGAAGAGTTTGGCTTAAAATTATTCCTTTTGAAATTTCATTCATTCAACTAAATAAATATTTATGGAGCTCCTAGTATATCCCAGGAATTATTCTAGGCCTCTTTAAATAAAACTAAAGGTTCCCACTCTCACAGGACTTACATTCAGCTGGGAAAGATAGACAATTAACAAACAAACATATATATTAGTATAATTTATATATAATTTGGGGCAAAATTATTAGAAAACAATTTATCAATACATATGAAGAGGCTTAAATTTTCTCATATTCTTAGGTGATATAATTGGCATCCTATAAATTTCTTCTAAGAAAAAAATTTAAGATGTACACAAAGATATGCAATATATATATATATACATATGTATGTTTATTCATCACAATACTATTTATCTTAGTACAACTTTATAAATAACTTAAATGGCCCCAAAAAAAGGGAAAAAAAAGGAGAGTGCATACATCAATAAGATGTTATAGTAGTGTATTAGTCTGTTCTCACACTGCTATAAAGATAGTGCCCAAGACTAGGTAATTTAAAAACAAAGGAGGTTTAATTGATTCACAGTTTGGCATGGCTGGGGAGGCTTCAGGAAATGAACAATCATGGTGGAAGGGGAACCAGGAGGCACCTTCTTCACAAGGTGGCAGGAGAGATAGTGAGAAAGAGAAGGAGAGATAGTGAGAAAGAGAAGGAGAAGAGCCCCTTATAAAACCAGCAGTTTCTGTGAGAACTCACTCACTATTATGAGAAGAGCTTGGGGAAAGCCACCCCCATGATCTAATAACCTCCCTCCAGGTCTCTCCCTCAACACCTGGGAATTACAATTCAAGATGAGATTTGGGTGGGGACACAAAGCCTAATCATATCAAGTAGAAAGCCATTAAATTTCATGCTTTATATTTAAGGTCATGGAAAGATGCTTATGAAACAATGCTAAATGAAACAAAGAATAGCATATAGTATTTTTTTGCATTCCTTTATCTTTCGTATCTAAATTTGTTGTTTATTTCCTGGCATTTTGTTAAGATTTTTAATTTGTTAGTATATCTCTTATCCTTCCATTTAGACTGTATATAAGGATATAGGAATAAACCAGCTTTCAACCATTTCACTGATGTTGTTCTAAAATATCAAAATCTATTCTACTTGAGAGCCAACCTTTAGGACTCAGGAAATACCTTCTTCCTATAGGTTCTCATAATACTTCATCATAGTAAGATTAACATAGTATTTCTTATGAATTTTTAAAATTTACCTGTTGCTTATATCTTCTACACTTAACAGATTCTTGAATCGTAACTCGTATTCAATAAGTGTTGGCCGGGCGTGGTGGCTCACAGTTGTAATCCCAGCACTTTGGGAGGCTTAGGCAGCGGCATCATTTGATGTCAGGAGTTTGAGAACACCCTGGCCAACATGGTGAAACCCCATGTCAACTAAAAATACAAAAATTAGTCGGATGTGGTGGCACACACCTGTAGTCCCAGCTGCTCAGGAGGCTGAGGCAGGAGAATCACTTAAACCCAGGAGGCGGAGGTTGCAGTGAGCCGAGATCGCACCACTGCAGTCCAGCCTGGGCGACAGAGCAAGACTCTGTCTCAAAAAAAAAAAAGAAAAAAAGAAAAAAGAAAATAAAAATAAAAATAAGTGTTTGCTCAATGAGTTAATAAATAAATTGTCCTAATATAATTTTTTAAAATTGGAAGGGACTTCTAGAAAAGGATCAGTTTTCATACTTGATATGGTTTGGCTCTGTGTCCCCACCCAAATCTCACCTTAAATTGTAATCCTCTTGAGGGAGCAACCTGTTATTCCCACGTGTTGAGGGAGGGAGGTGATTGCATCATGGAGGTGGTCTCCCCAGTAAGCGTTTGGAAGTTCCTTCTTCACTATTCTCTCTCCTGCTGCCTTGTGAAGAAGGTGCCTTGCTTCTCTTTCACCTTCTGCCATGGTTGTAACTTTCCTGAGGCCTCCCCTGCTGTGTGGAACTGTGAGTCAATTAAACCTCTTTCCTTCATAAATTACCCAGTCTTGGGTATCTCTTTATAGCAGTGTGAAAATGAACTAATACAATACTCAATTTATAGCTGTCACCAGGAGTTACACTTGGTCTACTAGTAACTGGTATTTAAAAGTAGGTCAGATTAGATGATTTTTTTACAGAGCACACTAAATCTATCTACAACTTACTATAATTGATTAGAATTATGTCAGAACAAATCAACTCTCTAAAAAACAATGAGTAAACTCACTGAAAATAAGTATCAGCCAATGTTATTTTTAAAATATTGTTGTTTTGCTATTAGTAGTTGGTAGACTGATTTTCCCCTTATTTAATAAATTATTTTGTTGTTTTATAGATGCAGCTTGGGACCTGGCATGGAAATGAATGTTCATGAAATAGGTGTCCTATTAAGAATCAAGAAATGTTTTTCATTCTTTTTTCCAAAACAGGATGTTGAAAAGTGTCATTTATATGAGAATAAATTCATGATGAAACTCATTTGTTTCATCATCTTTATCAGTCATGTGAGAATAACCTCAAATGAAATTGAAAATACACAAAGGTTTTAATTTACAGATTACTTTTATTTTTTATTTTCATTAAAAATACTCCACGCACGCGCCAAAACAAGTTCCATGCTCTATGCCATGTATCTTTTAAGCCCTAATTATATTTAAATTACTCTTCAACTCTTACTACATTAACATAATTGTGTGTCAACTAGCAAGATGTACTTATTGAATGAGGTATTTTTAGAACATTCTGCAAGTCAATAATGCCTTTTCCACTTTTTTTTTTTTTAACATACACTTTGCCATACGGCCTTTTACTAGACGAATTCCTCTTTTTCCTTTTGTTACTCTGGAACTGTAGCTTTCAGAAGTTTCCACCAAGTTATTCTCCATTCTTACTGCAAACGACCGCATACAAATTGCCAATAGTGTTACTGCTATTATATGAAACACAACTGATTTAGTTTTAGGTCTATCTTAGAAACTATTGACAAGAAGAACATCTTAGTTAATATTTGAGCTTTGTGTGTGTATATATCTATATCTCTCTCTATATATAGATATGTGTGTGTGTGTATATGTGTGTGTGTGTACATATATATATATACATATATCTACCAGCAGAATTTTTGCCAAGATGCAACACTGCTTTGTAATATGTGACAAAATGGAAGACTAAATTCAGTAGAATCATTTATTCATGCAGTCGAGAATGTCAATTGGAATTCCAGGATGAGAAAGTGGTCTGATTAGTCAGGCTTTCACATTACCAAATGTTTAAAATACCTTTAGGTAAACAAATCAACAAAACAAAAATAGACATAAAGAAATGTGTGCTTTGTATCAATGACATAAAATACAATCATTTTCCATTGTACAGATCGTTTTTAGTATAATTTATTTCCAAATCTCACCAAAACACCCCCTGAAAGACTTTTTTTTTTCTCTACCATGGATTAAAAGACATTACCTTAAAATTTAAAGTTGACTTAACCATGTAGATGAGCTTTAAAATTAACTATATTATCAAAACTTTATTTTTATTTGTAAAATACTAATTTCTCTCAAGTAAACATTTAATCCTGATTTATAACCACATGTAATATCACAATTTATATGAAAAGCAACACTTTCCTACCTCACTCTTCCCCCTCTCCCAGGATGCTTCTGTAGGCCACCACTTTCAAGTACTGAGTTGTTTTTCCTACTTATTTAACTTCAAAATTATATACAATATGTTTATACTTTAGGATATTAATTTTAGCTTTGCCTATTATTTCCTATTTTGCCATCCTCTCACCATTTTCCCAGTATGGCTATGTGGCAAACTTTGGTCATATTAACATCTACTTTATGTATTTTATATTTATTATTAGAAATTGCTTGTTGTCAGGCCAAATGGTGTAATATACAGTCAATTCTTGTTATTTATAATAGTTATGTTCTACACATTGGCTGCAAACATTGAATTATCCACATGAACCATTGCTTTATGATTGAATTATCCAATAATGAACCATTGTTTTGAGGTGAAAATATAGGGTTAGGTTTCTGTGAGCCTCTGATCACAACCTATTTGTCAATATATTTATGTATTTGCCAATAAATACAAAACTCCTTATTTAATATAGATTATTGAATTATTAACATTCAAGTCATGGCCAACCGGTGCAATAACAGATACCTGAATGAAACTTATTTAGTGCCCACATTTTCTCCATGAGGCTCATCATAGCCTTCTTGCACTGAGAAACTACACACTACATTTGCAGGCCGTTTAAAACAGTGAAATTATAACGAAAATGTAAAATAATGTGACACTAAACAGACAGCAAAAAGACACTTGTATATAGTTTGAGAGCAGAAAGAAGAAGGCAGAGTGTTGCTTGGCTTGACCTCAGTTGGGCATATGCGTGTTGAGTATCTCAAATTTTTGGCTGCTTTTCACATGTCTGTGAATGCCTGCAAAAGTGCCGTGAATATTGACTGGGGGATAACAAATAAGTTTTGGTGTAAATTTTAGGCAAATTTACAAATACACAATTAGCAAACAATAAAAATTGACTGTAATTTGACTGCAGTTATAATTCCTCTTAGGCAACTTTTCTCTACCTGGAGTTAACTGCATTTTTCCTTTGGTTTTCAAACCTTAATTTTTTGAAATCCTCGCACATATTTCTAAATACTCCCATTCTCCCATACTCATGCTCCTATTTAGACTGAGTGTGTGGTCTGTGGACTATTTTTTTTTTTTTTTTTTTGAGACAGAGTTTTGCTCTGTCACCCAGGCTGGAGTACAGTGGTGCGATCTCGGCTCACTGCAACCTCTGCCTCCCGGGTTCAAGTAATTCTCCTGCCTCAGCCTCCCAAGTAGCTGGGATTACAGGCGCTTGTCACCAGGCCCGGCTAATTTTTGTATTTTTAGTAGAGATGGGGTTTCACCATGTTGGCCAGGCTGGTCTGAAACTCCTGACCTCAGGTGATCCACCCGCCTCAGTCTCCCAAAGTGCTGGGATTACAGGCGTCAGCCACTGCATCCGGCCAGGACTATCTTTAACAGTCTTCTAGAGGTGTTCCTCTAGTTTCTGGATCTCATGTATTCTTAGCTGATTTTGTTGAGAAGATCCTCTGATGGATTCCTAAGAAAGAACACTGCAGGAAAACATGTTCAGATCTTACATATGTGAGGGCACCTTTATCACACTCTTACTCTTATGACAGTTAGGTATAAAATTCTAGATTGAGAATAATTTTTCTTTAGAAGTTTAAAAGTGAAAAAAAGTTTGACTTCTAGCAGTTAGTTGAAAAACAAATGCTATTCCAGTCACATTTAGTTTTGTTTTTAATTTTATTCCTGCTTTTCCCTATGGGCATTTTTAATATTCAGTGGCTCTAAAGTTTCCACATAATGTATCATGTTATTTTAGAACTTATAATATACAGCACATAAGGATTGGGCCCATCATATTGGAGAGTCCTTTTCAAATCTGTAATTCTTTTTTGTATTATTTGTGTGAAAATCTCTTTATTATATTTGATTATTATAAAAATCTTGTAAGTGAGATGTTGGATCGCCTAAATGACCTTCTAATTTTAAAATCTTTTATCTCCTATTTTCACCTAGTTTGGCTACATTTCCTGAGAGATTTATTTTGGTTTATTTTTCAAGTGTTCTATTGATTTTTAAAATATAAATGGCCAAATATTTGAGTTCTAAAGTGCTCTTTTCTTCACAATTAAAGTGTTGATTGCTTATGTTCCATGATTATTGTTTTTTTAATATCATTATCTTTTGTCATGAAAATATTTCCATAGATCTTTTTCCTCAGTTCTGATTTATTTCTCTTTTCTGTGAGTTTGTTTCTTCTTTGTTTGCTTGGTATTTTTGTTTCTGTCTCATATATCGGCAGCTTTTCTCAAAAATCATCTCTTTTGATTGACTCCCTATAATACTTCTGAGAGAAGCTCCAGAAAGCTTATTGGAGTCTTTGTATACAGGCAATGGCTTCTTCCTGCAGGAATAGTCTGGATAAATGTCTGATTGCTCAGATGGGGAAAAGATAAGATCATTCTTTGAAAAGACTTTCAAATGATTTTTAAAATGTATTCCCCACCCTGAAGCCCATTTGCTGTAGAAATAGACGTGTACAAGGTTTGTTTGTTTGTTGTTTTGTTTTTTTGAGACAGAGTCTCATTCTTGCCCAGGATGGAATGCAGTGGCATGATCCTGGCTCATGGCAATCTCCACCTCCTGGGTTCAAGTGAGCATGTCTGGCTAGTTTTTGTATTTTTAGTAGAGACAGGGTTTCATTATGTTGGCCAGGCTGGTCTTGAACTCTTGACCTCAAGTGATCTGCCCTCCTTGGCTTCCCAAAGTGCTGGGATTACAGGTGTGAGCCACCACACCCGCCACAAGTTTTGACCCTTGTAAGTTTTCAGGAATTTTGCAAGTTCATTGTTAAACACAGCTATTATTACAAATCAAAGTATACATAATTCCTTCCAAATAAATTTTATTAAAATGCAAGTATATGGATTCAAGACAAAACATTATATTTTAAACTCATAAATTCTTAAGAATTTTACTACTATTAATACTCACAAGATTCTTTACATCTTTACATCTATGTGGTAGAGAATGTTAATGATGGTGTGCTATTTCTTAATCTCTTTCGAAGTCCACATTCAGTAACATACTATTGGTATGTCGAAACTAGTTATGATGAGAATATTTACAATATGTGAATTGGCAAATACTACAAATGAGAACTTGATTTATTGTTTTGTCTATTGTCTACATTGAAGTATACAATGGAGGAAATGTTAACAATGAAGATGAAAGTAAATTGTTGGCACATCTGTAATCATTATATTGTGAATAGTACAACAAATTTAAGAAATATTCTTTGGCTATTTGAAAGCTATTATCCAAATTAGCTAAAAATTTTCTCACATTATTGTTGAAAATGCCGAGTTTCATGTGGATATTCCTTGTACCACTTTCATCTATTTGTTTGTTTAAACATACATGTTGGGAATACACTTGTTCATCCTATGCAACCACAGATTGACTATAGATACCAGTATTTTGTAAAAAGCAAGAAAAACATTCTGTGAGAATTAAATCACTATATGGATTTTACAATAAAGATATTGTACATTTTATTATTTATCATTACACATTTTATATTTTTATTATTTATAAACTATGTTGATAACAAACTTAAATACATGCATACATTTTTTAGAGAGTGAGTTGTCAAATATTTACCAGCAATTCAGGAACTTAATTTGAAGATTTCTCCCTCTGACAATCTGTTATAACTTATCTAAACTCTTCCCTTGGTCTATGTTTATCTCACTCCTCTGGCTGTATTTTTTTATTTATTCTTTTTTTCTGGTGGGTATAGTGCTAATATTAGGGTTCTTATTTATTTAGTATAATTTTAGTGCAGTTTTGAAAGCACAAACAGAAATAAAAATATTTGTTTGCAGCTATATTTTACTAAGACTCCGGGAACCAATTTAATTTTAACACAGCTCATTTATTTAGTTATTTGACAAATATTTATTGAGTACCCAATGCAGATTTGTAAAACACAGAATCTGTCCTCAATAAATTCAAAGTAGAGAAAGGATGAAGATATGTAAATTACTATGATACAAGGTAGAAAACTGATACATGGCATAAAATATACAAATTCTGTGTCATAAGAAACTCAGAGAAGGTAACTTTTATCAGCTGGGGGGATCACTAAACATCTCCTATAGGATATTCGCACGTAAAATCTGGATTTGAAAAGATACGAAGGACTTAGATACAGAGAGAGAAGACCTACAGGTAGAAGACATTGCTTGAAGCTAAGTAAAAGCAAAGAAATATGCAAGTATATCTAACGAAATAAACATTCAATAGTCCAATTTACATCATGAGTGTTTCCACAGGAGAGCTATTAATAAACTGATTTTTGTGCTCTTCATTCCTTGATCATACATGAATGTTATTCCTGGGTTTTTAAAGTTGCATCATTTTGAGTCTAATAACTAAATCACATGAATACTCAACAAAAGAATCAATCAAAATATTAAATATAACAGTAATGCAAGGACAATTTTACTATATGGACCAATGCCTCTCTTTGCATAAAAATGAGATTTAGAAGAACAACGAATGCTAAAATTAGAAAATTCATACTAAATCCTTTCAAAAATGTGGAAATTTGAAGTTTAAAAATATGACAAAGTTTTCTGATTTAGAATTGTGGAAATATATAGCAATGACTATGAAAGTGTATGAGTATCTCCTTACTGATCCTGTCCTTGTTTCATTGATACTGAACAGGTCCATACAGGGCCTCACTGGGCTGCTGTCCTCCTAGTAGCTGCCATTGGACCAATTCCTAGGTGAGAATACTGTAAACTCTCTAACACTCTATTAACTAATATTATTAAGATCTGTTTCAAGATTGCCCAAATTATTCTAAGCATTGTCTATAATGCCTGTCGCTAATTAAGGCTTCAGTTTCACTACATCTTAAGGCAACCCTTTTTTTGTTTTATTGGAAGATTGAAGTCGCAGCATAAAAATAATTTAAAAGAGAATCATATATTACTTTTAAAACTAAAACAGTAAGGGGAATTAATATAAAACTTGCTTAAAATAAAACTGCAAATAATGACAAAGTGATTAGAATTAATGCCTTAGGCAAGTTATTACAAATGTCACTAGAGAACTGTACTAGGTTTAAAGTCATTTGATTTTACATTTACTTCTTAAAAGCAATGTATTCCCATGTTTATTTTTCATATTTTATTAAAAAGAAATAATCATATTCTGTTCTTATTCAATAAACTGTAAATCCCACAAAGCAAGGTTAAACTAATACAAAATATTCCAATAGAAGAAAGCCCATTATGTCAAGCAGTTTTAAGCATGACTACCACTGGAACTCAAACAATGCCAATCACACAAAGAAAAGTGAATATATCCAATCATTATTTGGAAATGGTGAAAAGTTTGTATAATTGGCACTATTTAAACAAAGCTCACAATTTTCGACTTTTAACTTTTTCTGTTCAAATAGTTTGTCACTGTACAGACAAAAAAATCTAAAAATCAATTATAGCTTTAAATATTAATAGCCATTGCCTATTTTCACTGATTAAGTATCAGATTATATATCTACATTCAAATCTTAAACTATTTGCTGGTGAATAATCCTATGGACAACAGCTATTACACATCACAAAATCCTCAAAGAAGCCCTTAGTAATATAGGTAGGTGGCAAAGAACTCTTAGACATTTCCAAGATCTAACAGATCATACCACCAAACATTTACATTTAATTACTTTTAAATAATCTCTTCTTCTCTCTACTGTCAAACTCAATTTTGTGAAAGTATCTAACAAATAACAAGTGTCCTAAAGTGTCAACCATTTGCACTATTCCCAAAACAGAGCTGTTTAGGGTCAGAAAAACAGCAATGTGGTAGGAGATAGTTTAATGACCTGAATGATAAAGTCTATTTCAGTTATGTAACACCTTCTGAATACCCACTATGTTTAAAATCTTTTTTAAATATATTGCTCATGAGGGAGGATATTAGTCTTTTTTAAATATAATCTTTTTAAAATTATATTGCTCATGAGGAAGGAAAAAATCCAAGTAATTTTATTGGCAGATTTTGGGATTCTTACTAAAGTGGCTCTGTTTCTTTGGAGGAGAGACAAGGAAAATTTAATAAGTATTTATCAGCTCACAATATATACATTGTTCCAGTCATTTTTGCCAATGTCACCTTCTGATCATATTCTACATGATTTTCTCCATGAAAAATTGAAAGCCTTTCTTCTAAAATCTGGAATAAAACAAGAATGCCCACTTTCAACACTTATTTGACATAGTACTGGATATCCTTGCCAGGGCAATTAGAGAAGATAAGTAAATAAAGAGTATCTAAATTGGAAAGGAGGAAGTCAAATTAACCTTGTTTGCAGATAATATAATCTTATATTTAGACAAACCTAAAGACACCACCAAAAAACTAATTGAACTGATAAGTTCAGTAAAGTTGTAGAACACAATATCAACATTCAAAAATCAGTAGCATTTCTATATGCCAGCAGTGGTCAATCTGAAAAAAAACAAAAAACAAACAAACAAAAAAAATCAAGAAACTAATCTCATTTACAATAGCTACAAATAAGTTACCTAGAAATAAACTTAACCAAAGTAGTAAAAGATGCCTATAATGAAAACTGTAAAATATTGATGAAGGAAATTGAAGAGGACACAAAAGAATGAAAGATGTTCCACGTTCATGGGTTAAAAGAGCCAATATTTTTTAAATGTCCATACTACCCAAAGCAATCTACAATTCAGTGCAGTCCCCATCCAAATGCTGATGACATTCTTCACAGAAATAGAAAAAAAATTATATGGAACCACAAAAGACCTAGACTAGCCAAAGCCATCCTGAGCAAAAAGAACAAAACTAGACAGGATCACATTACCTGACTTTTAACTATACTACATAGTTATAGTAATCGAAACAGCATGGTGCTGGCATAAAAACAGACACATAAACCAATGGAACAGAATAGACAACCCATAAATTACAGTCAACTCATTTTTGAAAAAGTGCCGAGAACATACATTGGGGAAAGGATAATCTCTTCAGTCCAAATGGTGCTAGGAAAACTGGATATCCTTATGCAGAAGAATGAAACTAGATCTCTATCTCCTGCCATATATAAAAATCGAATCAAAATGGATGAAAGACTTAAATGTAAGAACTCAAACTATGAAACCACTGAAAAAAAAACATCAGGGAAACACTTTAGAATGTAAGTATTGATGAAGATTTGTGTAAGACTTCAAAAGCACAGGCAACCAAAGGAAAAATGAACAAATGGGATCACATTAAGCTAAAAAGCTTCTGTACAGCAAAGGAAGCAATCAAAAAAGTGATAAGACAACCCACAGAAGGGGAGAAAATATTTGCAACTACCCATCTGACAAGGTAATAATAACCACAATATATAAGGAGCTCAAACTATTCAATAGGTAAAAATAATCTGATTAAAATAGATACAAGATCTGAATAGACATTTCTCAATATAAGACATACAAATGTCCAACAGGTATATGAAAAAAATGCTCAACCTCATTAATAACCAGAGAATCAAAAATCACAACTACAATGTGAGATCATCTTACCATTGTTAAAATAGGTTTTGTCCAAAAGCCAAACAATAACAGATGGTGGTGAGGATGTGGAGAAAGGGTAACCCTTGTATACTATTGGTGGAATGTAAACTATTATTAGTATAGTCACTATGGAGAACACTGTGGAGGTTCCCCAAAAAACTGAAAATAGAACTAACATACGATCCAGAAATCCCAATGCTGAGTATATATCCCAAAGAAAGGAACTTAATATATTAAAGAGATATCTGCACTCCCATATGTATTGCAGCACTATTCACAATAGGAATCAATTTAAGTGTCCATGAATGCATAAAAAATGTGGTAAGTATATACAATGAAATATTATTCAGCCATAAAAAGGAATGAACTCCTGTCATTTGCAACAACATGGATGGAACTGGGGGACATTATGTTAAGTGAAATAAGACAGGCAGAGAAAGGTACGTATCACATTTTCTCACTCACATGTGGGAGCTAAAAATAAAATTGAATACATGGAGATAGAGAGTAGAGTGATGGTTACCAGAGGCTCTGAAGAGTAGCGGCGAGGCGGGTATAAAGTGGGGATGATTCTTGGATGTAAGAATACAGTTAGGGAGAATGGTTATGATCTAGTATTCAGTACCAAAATAAGGTGACTATATTTAACAATAATGTATGGCATATTTTAAAATAATTAAAAGAGTGGAAGTGAAATGTTTGTAATACAAATAAATGATAAATATTTGAGATGATGGATACCCCAAGTACTTTGATTTGATCATTGCACATTCTATACCTGCATCAAAATATCATATATACCCCATAAATATCTACAACTATTATGCATCCATAATAATTAACAATAAAAGTTTTAAATAAATAAAGCATAGAAAAACAAAATAATTAAATAAATAAATATTTTTCTGCATGCATTGAGGGAATAATATATACAGGAATTTCCTGTCAAATATAATTATTTAGAAAACCAGAAAAATACAATAAAGATATATTTTGATTACAGTTTATGTAGGATAAAATATAATATAGTATATTTTATATAAACATACAGCATAACATAGCCTAAGGTAAATATAATATATCTGGGATTGTTAAATATAATTATCTATTAACTGGAATTGCTTAAATTTTTAACTTTTACATATATTTATATCAGTATATGAAAAGAACACCTAACAATTATTTTTCTAGCACACTAGTTAGAAACATATATTTTATTGTTCAGTTATGATGCCATCAGTGGTCATCATATGGAAAATCTAGCTTTCTACCGAAAAATGTTGGGTTTATATGTTTGATAATACAGCTTAATATGTGAACAACATTAACAATAAATACTGCACTACTAGCTAAATTACACTGAGAACTTAGGACAATCCAGGGGCTATACTAAATCTTGGACCCACACAACTACTCTTTGAAGTATTATTATCATTATTCAAATTTTATATATCAAGAAATTGAGGCTGAGATGCTAAATAAATTAGCCAAGATCACAAAGCAGCCTGCTAATAGAGCCAGAATTTGAATCAAGTCTATTGTAGCCTACAGCTTGAGTTACTTTTGTCCATGTTGTACTCTCCACAGCTAACACAAGAACAGCCACCAAGACAAAAACCTTAAAATGCTTTTTCTAGTATTTTAACAATAATTAAAGTACATTCTTCAAAAGCAAGTAGCCAGACAAATATAATATTCAGCAGCCAGTAAGACTCATCCTGCAGAATACAAGTCTAGAATTCTAGTGCATGTAACACAATTTTTGTATTATTTAGCAAAATTAATATTTAATTGTCTGCATCTCAAATTTAGCAACATGTAAATTATTTGTACTTTATGTTGCTTAGATTTTTGCCTTGATAGCAAATGAATATTTATTGACTTTACTGAAATCAAAACAAAATAGGGTTTATTTTATGCAGTTCAAAACAGATAGTCCTCACTACTGTCTTTTAAAAACAGAAATACGGTAAATTATTCAGTTTGAACAAAAAATCAGTATTTTTAAAGTTCATTTACTCATTCTTTCCTAAAACATTTGTTGAGCAGTTATGTGCCAAGCTTAGTACATGGCAGGTAAACATAACATTTAAACAAAAAGACCTGCCCAGGAAGTGCAATTGAGAAAATAAGCAGAATTAAAGAAATGCTATAGTAAAACTGTAAAAATCATATGGCAACACAGAGAAGGATGTAACTATCTAGTATGGAAAATTATTTAGAAACATATACTTTATTCTCCCTATGGAACAAACAAAATTTAGAAAGTATCCTTAAAATTATAAAGAGATTAAGATAAGAGCCCCTTAATAGAGTGCCTTAAATAGATTTGGAATTAAGTTCCCGATTATTATTATCATCATCATTTCTTTTTTGACTCAGGATCTTTCTCTGTTGCCCAGGCTGGAGTACAGTGGTATGAACATGTTTCACTGTAGCATCAAACTACTGGGCTCAAGTTATCCTCCCACCTCAGCCCCCCAAGTAGCTGGGAAAGCAGGTGTGAGCCTTAGCACCTGGCAAAGTTCCTTATTATGTTGAAACAATATTTGCTTATCCATTTATTCAGAAAACACTTACTGGGCACTGACAGGTTATATGCATAATTATATAATATATAATTATATACATAATTTAATGTATTTAGCTTAGCTGAAACTGTGTTTCTTGACCACATATAGTTGACCAATCCATTGTTTGTCCAAAATTCATAAACTTTTTAATGGAGAGAGGAGATATGAGATGTTAATCCCGTATTTTGGACCTAGAGGAAATATTATCACTATATCATCTAGAGATCCAAGTTTTGAGGCTGGAAGCTAAACTGACCTTGACTTGTTAGTCTTTGTGCTAATCCCATGTTTACAGATTGTTTGTATTTCCCATCAAAAGAAATACGAACTAAGTAACCTAGGTCCTTTAAAATCATCTTTAAAAGAGTGTGAAAGAAAAGAAAGATATTAAAATAAGAAAAACTATAAATTGTGAACACGGGCAGCAATATGACTCTGAAGAGAAAAAGATAACTGATAGAATAATATTCTGATACTGTGGATGATGATTCAAGTTCAGGGGGAAAATGGAGTAACAAAAATACAATTAAAAATATTAGAATACTCAGTAGTATTTAAATGCATTTTCAAATTCATTGGAAGCCCAAAACACAACAATTCTGTAGGTAGGCAGGACTGATTCTACTAAAAAACAATCTCTTAAATTTGACATTCTTGAGACTTGGTATATTACAATCTAACAAACTTTCTGATTTATAGAAATATCTGTGTTCCCTTAAGCAAGTAGGGAATCACTCTCAGGCTTGTTTTATGCGCTTAATCTTTATTTTGCTATATATATTTTGTTCTTCACAACAGTGAGATAAAATTGACAAAATTCAGTGATTGCTAAAAAAGAAAAAGAAAAAAATACCAAGAAACAACTAGCACAACACGTGGTTAATTCTTTAGGCTCGTGCTTAAATAGGAAAAAGTAATAGAAAATTACACTTGATGGCTACACTTGACACTCACAAGTAGGAGCTCTGGAAGAACTCAAACACACTTGGGAATGTCTTGTTGATTACTGTGGTTGGGAAATAATTGTAAGTTCACTTGTGCATTCACATGTGTTTTCAGAAGGGGTTCTAAACTATGACCATTTCTCCCATCAAAATCAGGAGATGAGTGAATATTTTGCTCTTGCTCACATATTTGTGTTCTTTGTAGAATGCTTCCACAGATACATACTAAGGTATATTACGGATAACAGTAAACCTGTTGTTTAAGAATGGAAAATATGGGAAACTAAAGACATTTTGTTATTCAGAGCAGGTATTTATAATTACTTAAACAAATTTGTGGAACAAACATGGACTGCTCTGAAGCGATTGTCACAAATTTCAGCCCTAAGATATCTTCCTAATGACTTTCCTTCTTTACTTTCTTATGTGTAGATCCATGCCCTTGAGTTCAGATATGATATCACAAAGTATCCTCTGTAAATGTGAATATCTTTAGAAGAGTCACAAGTTAATCTAGTAGCCCTAAATATGAATGAAAATAGAAGTTTTGTTTATATGCAGACTCTAAAATTGAGAAGAATAATCTATTTTGATGACTGGGTAAAAGGATATGAACGACTTAGTGAAAAAAACAAACAAACAATTGGGATACTTCTTGGAGAGATAAACATGTGTTCAGGTACCAGTAGAGTAAAAGTATTCAGAAATGCATGAGGAAGACAGGTAAAGATAAGACACATTATATAAGACTTTTCCAATAAGATGACAAATTAAGAGATTTTTTTTTAGCACCTAAGAAAATGCAGAGTAACCCAGAGTATTCTAGAATTGCTGTCCAACATTTTAAAATTAGCTTATATAATTTGGAAAATTCGTGTAGAAGCATCTAACTGAATATACTGAGAGATGCTGCGCCCTTCCTCACGGAATTGTCCATGTCTCATTAACCTTCATAGCCATCTTCATCTAGCATAATATTTGGCCTATGGACTATTTTCAATAAACCATTTGGGAAATATTCAAATGAACTAACAAAATGCAGTGTGTAATTGTGAAACAGTTACCTGGGACATTTCTTTCTTTTTGTTTGTTTTTGTTGTCTATAATGTATCAATGTCATAATAATAATAAAGTTTAAAATTTGATATATAGGCTTTTTTTTTTGCTTTTTTTTAGATGCAGAGGATAAGTGCTTGATGTTCTTGATATGAATAAATATAATGACATAAAAAATCTCTTTAATATTATTTCCTAAAGTTATTTAGGAAGCAGACTGTATTATAGTAATATGCTAAGAAACTGTACTCACTGAAAGATTAAGAAACACATCAAATTAGCTAAATTAATAAGTGCTGCATATAACCTGGCTTTGAATTTCATGATTTTCAGTTCATCCATGTCCAAGAGAAATGTCATTTGGGTACCTAGAATATGCTAGCAATCTAATCATGAACAATTTCAAAGTCATATTAGACGCCTGGTCTTATATTAAAATATACTTCTTGATGAATAGTTGCCCTTTGACAGTTTACAACTTGCTATTATTGGTATAGTTGTCACATTGCTAACATGACCACTTAACCGTCCAAATAAATCAAAAATAAAAGAAAGAATTATGTCTTATACTTAATGTGGTAATCAAAAGAAGCAATAATCTCTCTGGGCCTACGATTTCAAATAGAAAGTCCTCTCATTTATTTTTTCATATTTTTTTGTCAGTTATGCTTTTAAAGTGAGTCATCAAAAGTGTCTATCTGATTTAAAACCTAAAAAATCTGTAATTTACTGGTCCCATAGGTAAATGGCTTATTTCATGTCTTAATATGAAGTTATTCATCTTTGTCTAATTTATTCCTATACCAAATTTCAATAATTTACTACAGTCAACTTTTGCAAAATGTAAAATGTCTCTTATTTTGGAGCTTGTGTTTTAGTCTTATGTCTCATTTATCTTGATACAAACATTAGTAGTATGTGTACCTGCAACTGATTTCTACTTAATCAGAAATGAGATTGTTGAAGGCTATAGTTTAGGTGTAATAAGAGCAGCAGGATAAGGATGCTGGCCCAAAAAGTAAAACACATGGTTTGCACTGGATTTATCTTTGTATTGGAGCAGATGCTGCAATAGTGTGTGCACTACAAAACAGCATTGATCTCCTGTTGAATGCTTGTTTATGAGTTTATGATTCACTCAGAGGTGAAGCAATCCTTCTGCGAAATCATTTAGCAGTTTTACACATGTATTAAATGATCTTATTACCATCTTAAAAGTGGGCTCAATTTATTACTTTTTGCATATTTCATCTTTCGTGACACTTAAACCTAGTAAACTCATACCGTTTAAAAAAAAGAATGTGTAATATTGTGGGTAGATATAATTTGCCCAGATTTCACACCATATCCTCTCTCTAATTCTCACTATGATCTTTTCAAGATACTTGCTCCCGTGCTGTCAGCAGGCCTAACTTGGAGGTTCACTGTAACAGGAAATTTCCAGATGAATCACTGGAACTGAATGTCTCCTTCAACCACTCCAACCACCTGTACACTCTAATGCCCTTTCTCTCTCAGCATGCTTATTTAGATTTACCTATCATTACTGTGAAAGCCAGAATTTGCCTTAAAATTCTCTGGAAAAAAATTTTAAAAATTAGAATATTTTAATAATTAATAGTTTGAATTTCACTTGAGAGTGAGCCACTAGAGAACACAACTAAGCACAGGCAGTATTTTTGAGCCTGTGATAAAAATACCCATGAAATTGCAAAAGTAAAACAAAAATACCCATAGTTTTAATACAGCTATCTCAGTGACATTCCATTAGGCAATATGTAATTGTTTTCTCTTCAGTTATTCTCTACTCTAAAATCAGCCATTGGATATCACTGATAATCTAGTGGGTGGAAGGACTAGAATGACAAATAATGTTCTAGCACCATGTGTGATCCCCCTCAACAAACTATTTTAAAAATCTATACAATTCTAATGACAACATTCACATTCTAT
The DNA here is from genome assembly GCF_000001405.40 of Homo sapiens. Classification (NCBI taxonomy): domain Eukaryota; kingdom Metazoa; phylum Chordata; class Mammalia; order Primates; family Hominidae; genus Homo; species Homo sapiens. Next base: position 124,203,140 of record NC_000006.12, on the reverse strand, counting down.
AGGGGAAAATATTTCAATGACTCTTAAGGTACAAAACAGACAGATTGAGCAAATTTTAAATTAAACTCTACTTTTACAGTCTGTTCTTAACATTTAAACAGACAGCACATTATATGACAGAGCTATACTACATGACAAAAATTAATGAAACTATGAACCAACAAATTTGTTACATGCCTATAATGTTGTGCTAAATTAGTGAGTACACAATATTACAACTTTATGCCTCTTGTAGGTGCCACAATCACTGCCATCTATTATTTATTTCTTTTATTTCTTTCTATGACTTGGCCAAGAATCCTACATATAACTCCCTCATAAGCTTCTGGAAGTCTTTCTCATTCATTAAAAAAGAGCTATTACTTGTAGCACATCTATTGTGGGTGAAAAGGCATCATCAGGCATTTTAGGGGTAACGTGTCCAGCTGTCCCAACAATTTTGCAAGATACCATGTTTGTCACCATTCCTTAGAATAAAAAAAATCCTAACATTCAAAGGTGTTAAATGACTTTTTTAATTTTTAATAGGCAATAAGTAATAGTATCAGGATTCCATCAGTTCTGTCCAATTCCAAAGTCTGGACATTTTCCCCTCAGGATGTGGCCTCTCCCCCAAAGCTTACTGAAATGCAATTCCCTCAAGGACTTGCTGTATGTTAGAACAACAGTTGAATGAATGTATATTCTTTTATTCACTCAGTCCACAAAGATTTTGTGTACTTAATATGCTCACCTAACTCCAGTGCATAAAAAACATAATTAGACTTGGTTTCTGCCTCGCTAAGGAATCGAAGCCAATTGTGAGAACACTGAGGAGCACCTAAATTGGTGTTGAGAAGAAGGGAAAACTTCACAGCAGAGCTGATATGTTAAGTGGGACTTACAGAATAAAGTAATATATTTACAGGTGCAACTGGCTTAAATGCTTAATGTGTAATCTTAGGAAATATTAGCTCCTTACTTTTTTTCAGGGACATTCTAGATCCCCTTAACTTAAATAATGGCCCTGCTAGTTAAAAGGTCATATTTTTCAGACATACACATCTTTCAATACTCCTGTAGTCATACCACTGCCACTCTGCCCACAAGGAAAAATAGCCTTAGATATCTTTTACAGGTAGTCTGAGAATTATAGCTAACCACGTTTGTTGATAATACACAACCAAACATGAAATATGCTTTTGAAAGCTCAAACGTTAATAGAAATCTGTGCAGAAAATACAAAAAGAAAATAGGTATATAGAAAATAAATCTTATCCTATTTGAAGTTATTCTCTCACTTTGATGAAGGATAAAACAATACACTTTTAATTCCAAAGTGAGAACATTTTCATAATCACCTAAGAATATAGGCAGATCATTTAGCTACCATTTGATAACTTTTCTTTCATTTTCTACCATCTTTGCAGCACATGTTTGAAAGGACGTGAAAACGAATATTGTATCTCTATGTATGGCCACAGGACTGACGTACTATCCTTCTCACTCCTTGAGGTTTTAATTACGAGAGTAATTACGTTGACATAACATGCAAAATATTGTGTTATTTCATTTTCAATTATTGATTTTTTTGGCAGTCTAGAGCACAAGTTACAGATGTGCATACATCCATGTTTGCTAACAATCCATTTCCAAACATAACTACATTTTAAAATTATAGTTCAAAACAATAGGTAACTAATTTCCCTTAACTACTTTCCCCGCTAGAATTCCCACTAATTAGAATCATTGGTGCTGACTTGAATTTTAATGCTAAAGGATGCCTTTAAAACTTTCATTCTTAATCATACCAAAAAGTTAATTCATGGGTCACTATATTTAAAGAGAACCATTAATGCATATTTATTTTAATTATGTTTCTATGTACACTTAATGTCATACTTTAATCACCATCGCCCCCCCACCACATGCCATGGAGAGGTAACAGCATGGTGTGTAAGTCTTAGAGAAAATCAGATGCCAACAGAAAATGATCCAGAACAAATATGTATTAGTATGTAAAAGGCCAGTTATTTTTTGTTTTATGTTTACAGCTTGTTTATGTAGATGTATACATTAGATATGGAAGTATAAGTCTATGTATTAATTTAAAATTCCTAGGTCTTTTCAAAGCACAAACTAAACCCACAACCATTGCTGACAGCCAACTTTGACCCTGTCCTTGTGATCCTGGCAACATAATTTGCACCCTGTAGAAATGAAGACGGCTTTTTCCTATGACAAGACTGTGTTCTACACTGGTTAATTAGCACGCAGATGGCAGGAAAGCTGCCCATTTTACCCCCTACTATACAAACCGCACATTTATATGCAGCACATATTGCAAAGTGGAATATTTGCACAAGTCATATGGCAGTAATCAGGTCTTCACTTTAGAAAGTTAAAAGAAAAAAGAAGGTAATGATTATGAACTTCAAAGTACAGTGCACTCAAATAATTGGACAAGCTTCATTGAGAAAAGACGAGGCACAATTTATTGTGCTGTTCTTATAATATAATTCTTAATTCTTGGAAAAGACAATACATATGTGAAATTTATCTAAGATACTCATGAAGTGGTAGGTGATTTAAATATTAGCATATTTTAAATGAAAAGTGGAGAAATGCAATATATACTTGTTTCAGAAATGCATTTTTAGGGTTTTGTTTGAATATAAGTATCTAATGATGATGAACTCACAGCACTTCAAAATCCAGAGGCTTTACTCTGAAGGACTCACAGCGAACAAAACACAGCAAGGACCCCTTGCCTAGAGCAGTACATTTCCTGCGCTTTACTCCTTATCCCATATAGACAGGATTACCCTCAAACTGATGCATGTCTATGAGAAGTTTAAATATTTATGCTGTTATAACAAATATTCCTGAGTTTAAGGAAAGACTATACATATGGTTTCAGAAGCTTTCTCCTGAGCTATAGGCTGCCTTAGGCAAGTGAAAGCGAATAAGGAGGCAGTGAGTGTTCATTGGCAAATGCTTCATAACTTACTTTATTTCATTGTCATCTGGCTGTGGATAATCAAAGCCTGACAGAGCTGATATAAAACATGCAAAATTTAAATCTGGGTTCATGGAGAACAAGGTATCTTCTTCACTGATTATTTTTAGCTAATTTTCCTCATACCTTCTATCCTTACTTACATTTTTAAAATTACTTAAAAGAGGATTTTAGAATGTCAAACAATAACATTTATATGCTTCTGAAAGGTCATTAGTTCAACACTATACTTTTTCTCGATGATATATTTGTTTTGTTTCTCCAAGTTTAGGTTGAATCTTCACTACTATTAAGAAATACATTTTGGTGCACTGTGCTTACATAAGGGTTTGGCAATTTAGTCAAAATAATCCTTTGCTTTGATTATACTGAAAACATCAAGTTAATTTTCTTGTTACCTATTTTCTAGTTATCGCATTCAAAATGATACATCCAGATTGTGGCACCCCATACTGTAAAATGTTACACAATGTGATCTTTAAACAGTTAAGAAAATCCAATTCTTTGTGTAGAAATGCATATTCATATTTTCTCCCTACATTTATTTTTTGATCCAATAAGAACCGAGCTTTCTGTAATTTTTCCAGACAGCCTTTTGGGACTGACTATATCTTCATGCTTCCCTGGCAATGACACTTTTCACTTTGAAGATGTCAAACAAAGAAAGGAAGCATCACATAATTTAGGAGTGAGAATGAATGTGAGCCCTGAACACTGGTCATCCTTGAAGCAGAAAACTGAATGTGCATTCCAGAGGAGAAATCTACTGCAGAGGGCAAGGACATGGGACTGCAGCCAGATCTCGCATTCACCTTTCATGATTCTTTAAAAGATTACACCGTATCAATTCATTTAGAAGGAAACTTACAACTAATGTGATGGATTTTTCTTCTACTTCCTTCTTAAAAATCTTTTTTAAAAGACCAGAATGTTTGTATCCAGACACTTTTTAGGAGATCTGTTGTCACGCCAGTGTTTGTGCCAAGCAAAATCCTGTCGTCTAACTACAATTTTTCAAAGGAGATACCGCAAAGTAAATCTAAAAATAGCATATTGGTAAAATAAATTGTGGGACACATCATTTTAATATTATAAAGGAATGTTGCTTCAAATATATTTGTAAGTTCAAAAAGCAGATTATAAAATAACGTAAAGAAGAGGATTTCCACCCCCACTGAAGATGTTGAAAGGCGCAAAGTGTCCCACACAACCAAACAATAAAAATAGGCCAGATAACCTACAAAATAAATTTTCTGGAATTCACTGGAAAGTTATAGTCATAATGCAACCAAATGACCTGAATTACAAAGAAGCGTGAGTCCCTACAAGGAGATACAGGACACACAAACTGTCTCAACTGCCAAAGAACGTGGACCACCATAAAAATGCCCCTTGGGAGAGCAGACAGGCAGGAGCAGAATGAGCAGCTGTGGGGAACACACACAAAATACTGTGCAATTCCTTGGACTCTTCTCTCATGCAGAGCAAAAGGTCTTAAGCCACAGGAGAGAAGCAGTAAAGATATACCACGGCTGAGGAAAGGAAAGAAAAGGAAAAAACTCAGAGTTATTGTGATTATAAGAAGGGTGGGAAACTCTTGGAACTGCAATCCTATACCCACTCAAAGCTTCCTATCAATAGAGAAGAAGAGAAACTCTCACTCAAGGTCAAGATCTACAACAAATACAAGGCAGAGAGTTTGACTGTCAAGCAGAAGAGTGAAAGGCATACTGAGAATTCTCCACCCAGAGTCCAGGCTCCATGGGTTTCCCAGAACTGTGGCTGGGCCAAAACAACAGAGAACTGCTATCCCCACAACACGGGCGGAGCATGAAGTACTAAACAACTGCAGTCTACTGCTAAATAAGGACGTAAGCACTAACAGTTCTCCTATAGGTATAGCACATACCTATAGGAATGGCTAAAAGCGGGGCCAGCGGATTCATACTAAGAAAACTCTCCATTATCCTAGCCTTCACGTGGTACATGGCAAAAACAGCCTATATCTAGAGTTATTGGAGTTATGGGCAAAGGTAGCCCATATCTAGAGTTATTTAAACTCGTGATGTACAACAAGTACATACAGCAATGAAAAATCCCAAACCCAGTTAATTTCTGAACAGAGTCACTCAATCCCCACAAACTAGTAACCTGGCAGATTTCGAAAGCTGGCCCTTCTCAGATGTAAATATCTCAGTTGGTACTGAGTTTCTGGAGCTATATAATAATGGAATGCTGTTGGTAATAAAAAGGAAGGAAGCACTCATAAATGCAACAAAATCATGAAAAAAAAAAAAAAAAAAAACCAGACACAGGTTATACTCTGAAAAAGGAAAAATCCCAGAGGCAGAAAACTGATCAGTGGTATTAAAGGGTAGTAAGAGAGGAGATTGATTACCAAGGGGCATGAAGGACCTTTCTGGGCAATGGTAAGATTTTTAAAATCTTGACTGCAGTGATGTTTATATTCCTGTATTCATTGTCCAAATGAGTAAAATAGTTCATGTAAAAGGGTGAATTTTACTGTACAAAATGGTAATGTAATAAATTTGACTTTAAAAGCAAATACGATATGAAGAGCAGGATTTCCACTTCTACTTAGGGTATAGAAAGCTTCTATTAGTGTCCCAGCCAACTAAACAATGAAAATAGACCAAATAATCTATAAAACGATAACTTTTCTTGAATTCATTGGAAAGTTGTAGTCATAATACAACCAAATAACCTGAATTCCAAAGAGAAGTGAGCTCCTCCAAGGGGACACAAACTGTATTGACTGTCGAACAATACAAAGCCATATAAGGCTGGTGGGGTGGAAAGTGGGAGGAAAACAGAGTGAAAGAGAGGCCATAGAAGGAAGAGAAAAAAAAAGAAGAAAGATTAGAAAGAAACATAGTAACATTTATGAACTGGGGACAAAACACTTATGAATTTAGCATAGAGAAAAATAAATGCAGTATTTTAAAATAAAAGATGGAAATAGCAGACAAAGACTATAATTTCAAAATATTATTTTCTACAATTTAAATATATTTAAAGAAAAACTATATAAATATATATAAAGAAAATTTTAAAGAACATTGACTATGATACCAATAAGCATACTATTCCAGATTTAGTAAACATTTTTTCTTTCTCTAATGATATAGACTACAACCTTCTTAATACCTTTCCTTAATGAAACTAGGAATTCTTGAATATGTTCTTGTGCATGTCTATATCTCATGACAATGAGGTTCTTCCTTATTAATCTTTATTAGGGAAAATCCACAAATTTTAGCTCAGTTTGAAAATGAAAACATATTAATAAAGCAAGCACGAATAAACTTTTATAAAATAAATTAAAATCACCATGATACAAATATATTATGTTTTATATTAGACACTGATTGATCTTCAATATTAATAGTTCAATTAAATTTGCAAATATAATTAAGATCAAAATGTAACACTGAATGCATTGTGAGGATGGACTGTGAAAATCTTTAATTTAAAATTATGAAAAATTGAATGTGTAAGAGTGTTAGTGCAAAGCAAATAATAAAATTGTGTATCCAAGATGCAAAGGTTGGGTATATAAACATACAAATTGAAACCTGTTTCAGTGTTAATAGGCATTAGAGCATGATAATTGAAGTCTCAGGCTCACAATTAAAACCAAATCTGTTTAAATGATGACTATAATTTACTATATGATTTACTTTGGCAATTTTTAAAATCTCTGTAAACATCACTTTCCAAATATATAATATGGGGAATATAGTGGAACCTTCTTGTCTGTAGAGTTATTGTGAAGAATAAGCACAGTACATGCCACCTGGAAAGCAGTCAATGTATGTTCTTTGTTATTGTCATATAATCTTTAATATTTTGTGAACACACACAAAACAATCAGGTATTGTGTTTTGAGTTATAGTTACCCGGATAAGTATTTACTTTTCAAGACAATGCTTTGTCTTAAATAGTTAATGATGAATGTGAATGAGCTAGTACTTAAAAAATATATGAAAATATTAAGACTGGAATCTCAAATCAGATAATGAGGTATAATCACTAGTTTGTTGGAAAGAAATAGCTTTTCTTAAACCCATAATTGTTTTTAGTGGTAGATATTTGCATATCTTCAATTAAAGAGTGAACAAATTTATAATATTTAGTACAAATTTTTTTAAATGTATGTATTAGAGAAAATTGGGCTAATATCAGTGTTTCCCAAGTACACTAGAAGGAGCAAATTTGAAGAAAGGAAAAAGGGGTACTTGAGGCAACACTGGGATAGTAGCCAAAATGATGGCTGAGAGTGAAGGAAATGGGAGATGAATATTTAAAAAACACCGCAACAACAAAAAAATAGCCATTTAAAGTTATTTAACAAAGGAGCAATTAACTTATAAACTCAGTAGCTCATAGATCCATCACAGCTTTTTGAGATCATGGAATGATTTACTTTTCCATTGAGGAATTGTTATGAAATGAAATTAAAAATAAAAAATGAGGAAAGGTGAGGAGATTGTGCTTTATCCAAGTTTCTCACTTGTATCAGTGACTTCACTGCCTTTGGACAAATCTCTCAACTCTTTGGGATTCAGTTTACTCATACACAAATGAGAAGTTTTCAGCATTCCTTTCAAAAAATATATATGAATGTGCAGTTATTAAATCAAATGTCTAGCAAGTAAGTGTGGGCAGAAAGCTGTAGCTTTCTGGCAAGAGACTGAACAGCAGGGGATAGTTAGCTAACATTGAATTTGTTTCCTATTGTGAAGAGATCCAAACTTGAATCCACTTCATTGAGTTAACTAGTTTTAAGAAAATAATTTTAAACCTGACAAAGTAATTTTTAAAATAAATACATTCTATGGAAATTGATGTAGTTTTAATGAGATCTCACAACTAATGTAGAACTGATTTACTCTAAGGTCATGGAATATGGAGCACATTATTTGTAGAGACTAATTTATCTTAAAAAACTTCCTTGACAATAAAAAAGGCTATTCAAAGGAATATAATAAGTATAAAAATACTTATTATGATTAAACATTAAGAATTAAATTTATAATGTTTAATATTATTTCAGAATAGAACACAAAAAATAAAAAAATTGCATTTTATATTCTTTATACTTTAAAACTAAAAAAAAAAAAAAGCCAATAATATGACAAATAATTTGAAACTTTCACCTCTTCATTTAAAGCTGGTACCAAGGATGTCCCTCGACTTCTCAATGACTTACAGGCATCTAATTAAAAATGTACAAAATTAAATCCAAGAATTCTTGCCTTTTATCCTTTAGTGCACCCTATTCCAGTCCATGGCATGACAGCTTACCAAAAATTTGAAAGTAGTTCTTATTGGCTCTCTTCCCTTCCATTATATGTAGTAAACTAGAAGTCCTCTTAGTTATATTTTGTAAGTTGATCTAGTAATACTATATGCAGAAATAAAAAGACATAATATAGCATCGTGTACTATGGAAATCTCAATAAATACCTAAGCCATCTATGACCTAGAATATAAAAAAATCATAAAATAACATGTGAATAAATATTGATTAACCCCAAAGAAGACAGAAAGTAGGCAAGAGAAGAAAAAAACAGAAGGAATGTACGAAAATCAAGTAATAAGATGGTAGATTTAAATCAAATTCCATTAATTAAATATAAATGTATCAACATTCCAATTAAAAAATATTGCCAGAGTAGATATAAAAGAAAAACACAAATGTATGCCGTCAATGAAAGATGCTCATTAAATAACAGAAACAGATATGTTGAAAGGAAGATAAAAAGAAAACATGTAATATGAAAATGGTAAACACAAAAAAATGGTATGGCTACATTAAATTAAAGTAAAATAAGGCAAAAGATGTTAGGAGATTGATGGCAGTGGTGGGCAGTCTGGGCAGGAGGCAGACTAGATCTTGGGTGGAAGCCCCACCTTCAAGCAGGTTAGGGGCAGTGGCTGAAGCCTGGGGGCTGGGCTGCTGGTCTTGCTGACCAGAGTGGGAACTTGTGGTGCTTTTTCTGGGCCCACCCATGGCCACCCATGGAACAATCGGAGTGCACGTCCTCCCCACTGAGACCCATAAAAGCCCCAGACTCATTCAGACTAAGAGACAATGGGACGACTTGCCTGCAAGAGTATCTACCGGCTCCAGGGTCTTCTCTCTGCTGAGGGCTAAACAGATGATGACACAACCAGCTGTGGAGATTAGCTACTCACTCCAGGGTCTCCTCTCTGCTAGGAGCTGAACACTCAATGGAATGATTTGCCTGCCAAGAGGAGCTACCCACTCTAGGGTTTCCCCTCTGCTAGGACCTGAACACTCCTCAGGACACCCTGGCAGCAGAAAGAAGCTACCCGCTGTGGGTCTCCTTTGTGCTGCTCTACCCTCAGTAAAGCTCCTCTTCTCCTTGCGCACCCTCCACTTGTCTGCATACCTCGTTCTTCCTGGTCACAGAACAAGAACTCGGGACCTACTGAATGGCAGGGCTAAAAGAGCTGTAAAACAAACAGGGCTGAAATACGTCCCTTGCTCACAATGTTGCGGGTGACAAGGAGAGAAGAGCTGCGGCCCTTCTGGGAGCCAGACATAGGAGCTCCCAGAGCCAGGGCTTTGACTCCTTCCTTAGGGCTCTGCGGTTCCTGGTGTCTCCAAGTTTCTGGGCCCAGCCACATTCCCTGGTGTCTGTCATGGAAACTGCTTATGGTATGCCTGGTGCAGCTGCACACTTGCAGGGAGCTAGCACTCATGTTGGCGCCTGGAGCTGCCTGCCCTGCTGCAGCCAGCATACCTGGCTATGGGCAGTGGCCAGACCACATGCTCGCTCACTCACACACCCCTTGCTGCCCTGCTTGCCCTTGGCAGGCATGAGATCCCGGCTGGTAGTGCGAACTGAGCCCTGTTTGCCGGGCCAAATGGGCCCAAGGGGCCCTCGCAAAACTCGGGCAGAGGCACCACTGGCCACAAGTTTCCAGCCAGAAAAGCAACACCTGAAGTATGCCATAACATAATCTAGAAGACATAACAATTCTAAATGTGTATGCACCCAATAACAGAGCTTCAAAATGCATTAGTTAAAATGGATAGAACTGGCTGGGCGCGGTAGCTCACGCCTGTAATCCCAGCACTTTAGGAGGCCAAGGCGAGCGGATCACGAGGTCAGGAGGTCGAGACCATCCTGGCTAACACGGTGAAACCCCGTCTCTACTAAAAATACAAAAAAGTAGCTGCGCGCGGTGGCGGGCGCCTGTAGTCCCAGCTACTCGGGAGGCTGAGGCAGGAGAATGGCGTGAACCCGGGAGGCGGAGCTTGCAGTGAGCCGAGATCGTGCCACTGCACTCCAGCCTGGGCGACAGAGCGAGACTCTGTCTCAAAAAAAAAAAAAAAAAAAAAAAAAACGGATGGAACTAAGGAGAGAAATAGACAACACCACAATTGGTAGTATTAAAATCCTCTCAGAACATTACAGAACATGTAACCAACAAAAAAAATCTGTAAGGATATATTAGATCTAAACAACTCTATTGATTCCCTTGACCTAATTAACTTTTATTGAACACTACACATAACAACAGTGGGATGTACATTCTTCTCAAGTGTACAGAGAATATTCACCAAAATAGACCATATGCCTGGTCATAAAATAATTAGCAATAAAATTCAAAAGATTGATGTCTTATACAATATGTTCTTTGATCAAAACAGGATTTAATTAGAAATCACTATCAGTAAAGTATTTAGAAAAACCTCATATTATTTGTAAATAACATGCCACTAAATAATCTATAAATCAAAGAAGTAATCACAATGAGAAATTAGAAACTCTTTCAAATGAAATGATCACAAAAACACACATATCAAAAATAGTGGGATACTGTGAAAATAGTGCTTGGAGGGACCTTTATGGTTGTAAATGTCTATATCAGAAAAGGAGAAAAAATTTAAAGCAGTGACCTAATTTGAAACTGTAAGAAGAAAAGTAAAGAAGAGCAATGTAGCCCAGAGTGAGTAGGCAAAAAGAAATGATTCAACAGCAGAAATAAATGAAATAGAAAACAGGAAAACCATAGGAAAAAAATCAAAGCAAACGTGGAGTCTTCAAAAATATTAATAAATTTGATAAACTCCTAAGAAGACTAATTAAGAAAAAAGTAAAAACAAAAATTACAGTATCAGAAGAAATTTTGGAATACCATTTACAGATATGAAAAGGATAAGATATTACCAACATCTTTAGACCAATAAATTTGAACACTTAGAAAAAATGAAGGATTATAAAATGTAAAGTAATATAATCATCTTGATAGATACTGAAGAAACATTTAATAAAATTCAAAACCATGCATGAAAAAATTCTTAGTGAACTAGGAATGAGTAGATAGGACACACTTCAACTTTGTAAAGCCATCTGGAAAACCAAGGGCTAACCTTATACTTAATGATAAAAGAATGAATGCATTTCTGGGATCCAGACACAGATGTCTGCTCTCATTATATCTATTTACATTGTAGTGGAAGTCCTAGCCGCCAGAGTAGTAAGGCAAATGGGCAAAAGGCATAAATACTGGAAAGGAAGACATACAGCTCACTGTTGTGAGGTGACTTGATCATCTTTGTAAAGTTTAGGACTAAAAGGATAACAAATAGAATTAATAAATAAAATTATAAGGTTTCAGAATATGTGACTAATATGGAAAAATAGTTATATTTCTATAAACTGGAAATATAAACTTTTTAAATTAAATTAATAAATAATATTTTTTATCATAGCAGCAAAACCATACTTATGAATACATTCAAAAACAAAAAAAAGATGTGCAAGACCTATACACAGAAACTACAAAACATTACTGATAGAAATGTTTAAAAGACAAGAATAAATCAGATTTGTACCAAATTCATGAAATGGAAGATTAAATTTGGATCTATATATTTTGTGCAATTCCAGTTAGAAATTCTACAAACGTTTTTGTAAATCAGCAAGCTGATTCACTCAGGGCAGTATAACTATTTTGTATGATACTGTAATGTTCGCTACATGTTATTTTACATTTGTCAAAGCCAATAGAATGTACAACAGCAAGCGTGAACCTCACATAAACCACGGACTTTGAGTGATGAGGCATCAATATCAGCTCATCAATTGTAGTAGATGTACCACTCTGTTGTAGAATATTGATGGTGGGGGAGGATGTTATAGAGAGGGAAAAAGAGTATATGGGAAATCTCTGTGCCTTCTTCTCAATTTTTGCTATGAACCTAAAACTGCTCTAAAAAAGAGAGTCTATTTTCTAAAGAATTCAAAAAATAGACCACATATTATCTAACAAAGAGTGGGGTGGAGTTGGCATGGTAGGGGGTGACAGAAATGAACTCTCTATTAATGTCTTAATCTTACATGTAATTTGTCTAACACCCTGTCATCTTAGAAGATGGATATTTTCTGGTTGAATTTTACACTGAATCACTTACTACCGTATATGCTTATTAAAAATCTGGGTATACGCTTATTAAGAATTTGCAACTCCAACAAAACATTGCACCACTAAAGATATTTAATGCAAGAGAAAATGTTTAAATGCCAATTATAGAGCCACTGTAAAAGAACACATCCTTCCAACAAACGTCTTCACAAAAGAACCTGCCAGACTGGTTACTATCTGATAAAAATTCCAGCATGTTTTAAATAGCTACATGATAATAAGTCTCCAGAAGACTGAGAAATTGAGTCAGTCATTCAAATGGTTTGTCTACATGATGCCAAGGTTGGAATTTCTCACTTTTCATTTGAATGGTTAAAATCATTTAAGGTAATTGCTAACATTTGCACTGTGCTTTATAATTTACAAAGTGCTTTACCTCATTTGAGCCTCAGGATAACCCTGTAATATCTAATAATTAAACCTACTCTACAAGTAAAGAAACCAAGGCTTAGAAAGAATAAGTGGGTCTGGCAATTCCAACTTAACATTAGAGGTGGCCTCTATGAAGACAGGGCCACCATACGTGTAACCCTGTCTATGGGCCAAGGTCTGAATTGTTTACTATGGCCACCAAAGATTCACTTTCATATGTTTGTGGCCATGTGCAGGTAGTTTTGGAACAAGGAGGCAATAGTTAAAACACTTCACATTAATTGCTGCTTTTAGGAAATCTGCCCTCTGACCTTCATTGTTTTCACTAAAAGGAATAATTTCCAAAAGATAATACAGACATCAAAGTACCAAATGTCTATAAAATGAAGGCTCATTGTGTTCCTGACATTCTGTTTTTCTATGTCTGAGTTGGGAGAACAATGATGAAGAGCTTTCTTCCCTCCGTGTGTGCAACATGTAAAAAGGCACTAATTACCACTAAGGAGGAAAGATGTGCTAGTTTCTGGCATTGTGCCATTATTAATTTGTCCCAGGACATTTTTGTACCAAGTGTTTTGCTTTTTATTTTTTATTTTTATTTTTTGAGATGGAGTCTTGCTCTGTCGCCCAGGCTGGAGTTCAATGGCACAATCTCGGCTCACTTCAAGCTCCGCCTCCTGCCTTAGCCTCCTGAGTAGCTGGGACTACAGGTGCGTGCCACCACACCAGGCTAACTTTTTTGTATTTTTCGTAGAGACAGAGTTTCACCATGTTAGCAGGATAGTCTCGAACTCCTGACCTCGTGATCTGCCCACCTCGGCCTCCCAAAGTGCTGGGATTACAGGGGTGAGTCACCGCACCTGGCTTGCATTTTTTTTAAACATGAATAACCACATCACACAGTTAGCAGTTGTTTTTGTAATACTAAAGATCTAATAGAATCTTAGTCCAATATAGGGTTTCATTTCTATGGGTTTCTTTTTTAATAATATTTTAAATTGTGCTGGTTAAGAGCTCAATCCCTTTAAAGGCCATTCTTACTTTTCACAGCACAATCATGTCTCATGTATTAGTGGTTTATTATATTTATCTGAATAATCTCATGGTTTGTTGCTTGGGTTATTTCTGATAGCAAGAAATACGTTTTTTTTCCTTCATGTGAGCACCTTAATGCAAAAAAATTTCTAGGTGTGCATGATTTCAATTGGCAACAAAATGATGATGTGGCTGTCATTTAAATCAGTGATGTATTAGAAAATCTGGTGTTTAACTAAAATGTTTCTCCAAATTATTATAAATTCTTCAGAGATGATTATTTTTCAAATTTGCTCAGAACTGTTTGTAAACAGCTATGTTTCCCCTAATCAAGCTGTTATGGGAGGAATCAGAATAAAGCTTAAGAGATTTTCTGTAACTATTAAATATTTAATTATATTGAACATGGCATTTAAGTATGGATTTTGATGACTTCCAGAGAGCCATTAAAAGGCTGAAACACAGCTATAAATTCTATCAAACTATTGACCAATAGGCTCCACAGCATATCAGAGCTTTATAGAATTCCCTAGGGGAACGGGTTTCAGAAAAAGGATTGACTTTAGTGAGTATCTCAAATGCATAAAAACTGCTATTTAGGAAACAATTTTCTGCAAGTACCAACACAGAAAGAACTATGTCAAATACATACAAATTCACATGAAATAATTTGCATGTGATGATCTTTTTGACATGTTAACTTGCCTAGGCCAGTTATTCAATCAAACACTAAGCTAGGCGTTACCATGAAGGCATTTTATAAATGTGATTAAAGTCCATAAGCAGTTAACTTTGAGTAAAAGAGATTATTTTACATAATCTGGATGAGCTTAATTTAATCAATTGAAAGGCAAGGCTGACACCTCTTTAAGAAATTCTCCCAATGGATAGAAGCTTCAGCCAGTGGCTGAGAGTTCAAGTTTGCCCCTTCTGATAGCCTGCCCTATAGTTTTCAAACTTGCCCAGCTAGTCCCCATAATCAGATGAGCCAATTCTTTGCAACCAATCTCTTAATATATATTTCCTACTGAATTTACTTCTCTGATTGAATCATGATATGATGCTATTGGACCAAATTCAGGCAAAGTGTAGAATCACTAGGTTTAAAATTTTTTCTCCTGAGCTCTAGAACTGTGGCGCATTTTCATCTTCTGAAAAGCTTATGTATTATTTGTATGTTACTTCAAGTAATGTGGAATAATAAGGCTACTGGATCTACGGTGGAAAGATAAGGAAAGCAATGACCATCTATTGCTTCCATGACACAATGGACAGGCAAAAATACACAATTTCATTTTGAGAGTGTTTCAGATCAAACAGCATCATTCTTATGGAATAACATCTTGGTTAAGAAGAGGAAATGACTAAAACAATCTAGAAGATAGTTAAGGATGTATAGATAGTCCTTGACAGAGCAAGAATTCAAAACAGCTTAGTAAAAGTACTTAGGAGGGTCAAGAGGAAAAAGAAGGTATGGCAGAGGAAAACTGAACTTGAAAATAGAGAGTTGCGTGGACATAAGTGACTTCCAATGCATGTACTATGTTGTTAAAAAGGATGAGGGTCAGGCAATGGACGGTAGACAGAGAATTTTAACTAAGTTTGAAATGAAAATAAGCATGTTTATCAAAAAGTCATCAAACTTCAGTTGAGAATGGTGTTAAAAATGCAGTTTCTTGTGCCCTACCTTCGGAAATTCTGCTTCAATACGCCTAAAGTAGGGCCCATACTTTAGGATAAGACCAAAAATATGCTTTTTGATCTTATCCGAAACTGCCCTGTCTACCCAATTGGACTATGGGTGGCTGCAATAAACAAAAGAGCTATAGAATAAAGAAAGCCCTTAATGATGTGACATAATGGTTTTATCTATGCCAAAATTTAAACTAGCATGACATTTGAGAGTCAGAATAAAAAGAACATGTTTTCAAATCATGTTGGTTTTTCTGAGTCGTCTTTGAATGACTAGTAGGCATAAAGTCAAATAAAATGCCAAGGTAGGTTAGGTTATGAAGTCATCTCTAATCCATCCATATCAGGTTAGTGAGCATTATCATAGCATTAGGTAAAGCTAGGGCTACATTAAGAAAAGTATTAAAGACTCCACTGAACTGAGAAAAAAGGAAACAAAGAAAATAAATCCTTAAAATTTTTATAGTCATCTCTGTTGTAACAAAGCTATGTGGAAAGGTATAGAATAGATAAATCCCACAGACTGCTCTAAAAAGCATCATGCCACCAGCAAATATAGAGTTCAGTTTAAGTAAAAATTTTTAAAAAAAATCATCAGTACTTTTCTTGTCAGAAAAAATTCTCTGTTTTAAGGTATCCTAGAAGGATTATAAAAATCAGCCCCAATAATGAAATATTTAAGAGAATAATTCTGAAATGCATAGCAACTGACATGGTGGCTCTAATGCTTATATATTTTATATTGTTTTCACAGAGAGGTAAACATTTCTTAAAGTCTCCTTATGCTTTTTAGCTAATTTAAAATGAATACATGGACATTTTCCACAGTAGGCATATTAATTTAATACTAAATAAAGTTTTTGGCATAGTAAGTTGAAAGCAATAGTATTGGTTAGGGTAGAAAACACATATATTGGTATCTGATAGATTTCCTAGACACAGGTGCATACTTTCAAATGCTTCACTTGATTGGCAAGGACTGTCATAAACCTGCATAGTTTCATCGAATTTCCTTAAGGGTCATAAGCTCCCTCACATTTCCCTTGACCTCCTTCATTGTGTCTCCTGATATTCTCTCAAGGTTCACTGTGGAAAACTTTCCAATTTTCTCCTCTTAAAGACGGGGCTTGCTCTGTTGCTCAGGCTGGAGTGCAGTTACATAATCACAGCTCAATGCACCTGGAACTCCTGTGCTCAAGTGGTCCTCCCACCTCAGCCTCCCTGGTAGCTAGGACTACTGGCATACACCACCATGCCCAGCTATTCTCTCTCTCTCTTTCTTTCTCCTTTTCTTTTCTTTTTTCTTTTCTTTCTTTCCTTTCTCTCTCTTTCCTTCCTTCCTTCCTTCTTTCCTTCTTTCCTTCCTTCCTTCCTTTCTTTCTTTCCCTCCCTCCCTCCCTCCCTTCCTTCCTTCCTTTCTTTTCTTTTTTTTATTTTTTGTAAAGACAGGGTCTTACTATGTTGCCTAGGCTGGTCTCTAACTCCTGGCCTCAAGTAATCCTTCTGACTTGGCCTCCCAAAGCACTGGAATTACAGGTAGGAGCCCCCAGTTTTCTTTTTTCCGAGCTTCTACGGTTCCTATTTTGGGTAACAAGCAAATGCTTTATATAATAATATACTAAGCTTTATTTTGTCTTCTAACAAAATTATATTCAAAGGGGAAATGTTAGTCATTTCCATTTCCACATGTTTCCCCTAAATTATTTGATGTTGGTATTATTTCTGTATCATATCTAAAACTGTCATACTAAGAACTCCCATAACCTAATTCCAAAAAGGAGAGTCAATAAACAAACAGATGTGTTTAACCATAAAAAGAAGAAGCTGTGAAACTGGGCTATCATTAAGAGCTTTCACTTAGTGTGAATAAATAAAAAGTATATTTGTACACACAAAATGCTATTTCATGAAGTATTTGAAGGGAGAGGACTTCTACTTTCTTGGATTTTCAGGAATAACTTCAAAGGAATTGTTCTTATTAAATAATCATATATATTAGACATTTTGATTTGTTATAAAAGCAATTAGTGTAGAAAGAGAAAGACAGTAGACACAGTCTTTTATTGTTCATTATATAAGTTCATCTTTCTTTGAGCATACAAAACATTCTTTGTATCAGCATTTATTTTTATGGTTTGGTGGGAGATGGTTTTCTGTTTAAGTCCCTAGGGCTTTGTAGCTGACACACAGTACTTCTGTGACTTCTCTAATTTGTAGAATTCACCAAAGAATCAGAACTCATAATTTTAAACCGCATTAGGTGAAAATTGAAAATGTTTTGTTTTTAATACAGTTATAATGAAATGAATAAGTTACTTGCACAAAACTACTGTACGATAATAATATATCTGAAAGTTTCATAATATGAAAGAGTCCAGTTCAAGTTGAAGACATCAAATATAGTAGAATTGCTATGACTTTCATTGTCTAAAGCCAAAGTGTCTAGAAATAGTACATACATAGATATGTTTTACATTTAAATCATTATATTGGAAGCTAATGAACATAAAAATAGAGTAAATGATGTACTTCAAGGCAGGAAAATTAGTATGTCATAAATTTGAATATGAAGAAAATGTTTCCATTTGTTCTTCCAACTAATGATAGAAATAGATGTATATTATGTAATAATTAATTCAATTTTCTACTAATTAATTCCCTTGTCACCAGTCTACTGTTCCATCCACTAAAATCCATGGTTAACAGTTGCTGAAAAAAAATGCAAGATGATCATGTAAGTCTGTATTTAACAAGGATTTGGTTTAGATTTGTCCATTCCCTTTGATTCTGGGACTAAATAAAGATATTTTGTTGATCTGGGATGTTTTTCAAAATTAGGAGAACATCTCTTTAGTCTTGAAAGTTAAAACACAGACCTGTTGTTTCTTCCCCCAGAATTAAATCAATCAATTATGAAAATGAGTGATTTTATAGTGAATCCATTAGCTTAGTCTTATTACTTTTCTCTGTTCCCTGGGAGGGCAGTCAGAGAGTACAGATAGTGAGGGATACTCAGTGCTGTACCAAGATACCAGCTATATCTTCACCAAGATATTAAGGGACTCTTCGGGTGGTGGTGAGTACAGTGCCAAATGACTTATGAGGCCCAGAATGACATAAACATTACATTTTGTTGCTAGAAGGAGTTAGACAGGCTAAAACATAAGGAGGGATCCAGAAATAATGAATGTATTAGAGAGGTTTTTAAGACTAAGGTAAATGTAGGGAAACAGTTACAAAATGGTCTGGGAGCCCTTGAGATCTTCAAGGTTCCCAGGTAGAGATAACATCTAGTTTGCAGAAAGGCTGATAGTGAAAAAGGAGAGGATGAACACAGAAGATGAAGAGAACCAAACATTTCGAGACCAGAATGTTTGGCATATCCCTGAAGTAGCAGTTAAGTTTGATAAGTTAGATTCCTTTTAAAATTTATAATAAAAGTGTCTTCTTTGCATAATTTGAACATTAAAAGATAAGAGACAATGACTTTTCATCATTCTGTGAGCATCTGGCCATTTCTTACTGTCTGCTGAGCTCTTTCTTTTCTTGTTTTGATGATCTGTCAGGATACACATTAGGCCAAAGTACAAATAAAGTCATTATCAATCTGTATGTGTGCTGGCAGATGTCTCTATTCATCACTATTTCTGTAGTTCTACATGATAATCAAAAACGCATTTTAAAAAATCATCTTCTGTAACAAAGGTAGCAGTGTAAAATTTCAATCTCAAAAAAGTAACAGGATTTTCTAATGAGATTCATGAAATCAGCACATAAAAAATCTACCACATTCTGATATTTTATAGTTATATGAAAAAACTTGCAGGGCATGAGATTTCCTAGATGAAACCCAGCATTTCAGTTTATTAGGAGGGATATAAAATGTACCCTTGAAAACTATCAAAGGATGTTACATCAGTAATAGTTGTTGAAGAAAAAAGAGTGTTTTTTTCTCTTTTAGAAAAATATTCCAATAAACATTAACATGGAAATTACTGATTATCCATCATTACTAAATATAAACATATATCTTGAGAAAATAATGAGGCTATGTCATGTAGGAAACATATACTCAAGGATTAAGTTTTCAAATGTAATTAACATGCTCAATACAGAGACTATACTCTATCTAATAATTTACTCACAGACTGATCATGATTTTGAAGCTTGTTCATCATAAATTATAATTTATATTGCTATACTTTTATTAGTAATAGAAGTGTAATATAAACAAAATAGACAAGCACTTAGTAACAACCAACATTATTTATATACATGTGTAATGCCTATTTACTTCTAAATTTATGCCTTGCTTATAACTGCAACTTCCAATATCTTTATTTTCTCCTTCAATTATTATATTCAGCCTCTTTTATGTTGAGACCTGCAAAAATGGGGTCTCTGATTGCTTAACCCCAATGCAATATGAATATTCCTACTTTCACACATCCATAAACAGCCATAATTCTCAAATTACATTTTTAAAAGTAGATAAAGCTCATGGATAAGTAGCCTAGCACTAAAATAAAATAATAATTAATTCCTCATCTCACAAAAATACATCTTTCACATATTTAACATTCTGATTTCAGTAATACTTAGGCTTTAGGGCTAGTTCTAATACATGGCACAAAATCTACTAATAACTATAGTTTGAAAACAGTAGGAACATAGGGCATATTTTCAGACTTCTCATCTGTATGTTTGCCTATATATATATCTGTCTGAGCTACATTTTCCCAATATTTTAAGTTACAACAATACCTCACATGGATGTCCAATACCAATGTTTATTAAATAAAATACACTTACCATCTGACACCTTAATTATTTTCTCAATCAGGTGTATTAGTTTCAGGTCAAACATTAATATATGGATATAGACAGGTCTACTCTCAAAATGTTCAGGGTAGTTTATTGGCTTCTTTTCAAATAAAACCACCTGGTACTGAATTGAATTTTCCCAAATAAAAATATAAGTAAAATTTAATTTCATTAATCACTTGGATAACAGCATTAAAAAATCAATCCAACACACCAAATTAGTGAGGACTTGTTGTGTTTAAAATATTTTACTAATAATTTCAAAGAATACAGAGTTGAATAAGACAAAGTCTTTGTCTATGGTACAATATAGTAACAATTATGGATTATTCCAAGTAACTCATAATGACTTGTTTTTAAAAATATTTGTAATTATCAAGCTATTCATTATTATAATGCTTAATTAGTGATATTGTTTGGCTGTATCCCCACCCAAATCTCATCTTGAGTTGTAGCTCCCATAATTCCCACATGTCATGGGAGAGACTCAGTGGGAGGTAACTGAATCATGGGAACAGGTTTTTCTCATGCTGTTCTCATGATAGTGAATGAGTCTCATGAGATACGATGGTTTTATAAAGGAGAGTTCCCCTGCACATGCTCTCTTGCCTGCTGCCAAGTAAGACATGCCTTTGCTCCTCCTTTGCCTTCCACCATGATCGTGAGGTCTCCCTAGCCTGTGAGACAATTAAACCTCTTTCCTTTATAAATTACCCACTCTCATGTATGTCTTTATTAGAGAACAGACTAATACAGTAAATTGGTACTGGTAGGGTGCGGTGCTGCTCTAAAGATAACTGAAAATGTGGAAGTGACTTTGGAACTGGGTAACAGGAAGAGGTTGGAACAGTTTGAAGGGCTCAGAAGAAGACACAAAGATGTGGGAAAGCTTGGAGCTTCTTAGAGACTTGTTGAATGGCTTTGACCAAAATGCTGATAGTGATATGGACAGTAAAGTCCAGGCTGAGGTGGTCTCAGAAGGAGATGAGAAACCTGTTGGGAGCCGGAGCAAAGGTCACACTTTCTATGGTTTAGCAAAAAGACCGGCAACATTTTGCCCATGTCCTAGAGATTTATGGAACTTTGAACTTGAGAAAGATGATTTAGGGTATCTGGTGGAAGAAATTTCTAAGCAGCAAAGCATTCAAGAGGTGACTTTCATTCTGTTAGAAGTATTCCATTTTATTTATTCACAGAGATATGGTTTGGAATTGGAACTTATGTTTAAAAGGCAAGCAGAGCATAAAAGTTCAGAAAATTTGCAGCTTGATGATGTGGTAGAAAACAAAAACCCATTTTCTGAGGAGAAATTTAAGCCAGCTGCAGAAATTTGCAAAATGAGGGGCCAAATGTTAATCACCAAGACAATAAGGAAAATGTCTCCAAGGCATGTCATAGGTCTTCATGGAATCCCCTCCCATTATAGACCCAGAGGCCTAGGAGGAAAAAAATGATTTCCTGGGCCACACCCAGGGCCTTGCTGCTTTGTGCAGTCTTGGAACTTGATGCCCTGCATCCCAGCCATTGCTAAAAAGGCCCCAAGGTGCAGCTGGGGCCATGGTTTCAGAGGATGCAAGCCCCAAACCTTGGCAGCTTCCATATGGTGTTGAGCCTGCAGGTACACAGAAGTCAAGAATTGAGGTTTGGGAACCTCTGCCTAGATTTCAGAGGATGTATGGAAATGCTTGGATGTCCAGGCTGAGGTGTGCTGCAGCGGCAGAACCTTCATGGAGAACCTCTGCTAGGGCAGTGTAGACTGAAATTGCAGAGTCAAAGCCCCCTCACAGAGTCCCCACTGAGACACTGCCTAGTGGAGCTGTGAAAAGAGGGCCACCATCCTCCAGACCCCACGATAGTAGATCCACCAACTGTTTGTACCATGCACCTGGAAAAGCCACAGGCATTCAATGCCAGCCCATGAAAGCAGCCAGGAGGGAGGCTGTACCCAGCGAAGCCACAGGGGCAGAGCTTTCAAAGGCCATGGGAGCCCACCTCTTGGAAGTAACTAACTTGCTTTTGATTTTACAGGCTCATAGGTAGAAAGGACTTGCCTTGTCTCAGATGAGACTTTGGACTCTTGACTTCTGATTTAATGCTGAAATGAGTTAAGACTTTGGGGACTGCTGGGAAGGCATGATTGGTTTTGAAATGTGAGGACATGAGATTTGAGAGGGGCCAGGGGTGGAATGATATGGTTTGGCTGTGTCCCCACCCAAATCTCATCTTGAATTGTAGCTCCCATAATTCTCAGGTGTCATGGGAGGGAACTGGTGGGAGGTAATTGAATCATAGGGGTGGGTTTTTTCCCATGCTGTTCTCATGGTAGTGAATAAGTCTCAGGAGAGCTGATTGTTTTATGAAGGGGAGTTCCCCTACACACACTCTCTTGTCTGCTGCCATGTAAGACATGACTTTGCTCCTCCTTTGCCTGCCTTTCACCATGATTATGAGTCTTCCCAGCCATGTGGGATTGTAAGTCAATTAAACCTCTTTCCTTGTTAAATTACCCAGTCTCAGGTAAGTCTTTATTGGCAGCATGAGAATACAATTAGGTATTTATATCTGTATCTTAGCTCTATCTATCTATCTATCTATCTGGATACATACACACACACACACACACAGTAGATATCTATTTGCTTACATGCCTACCTATCTACCTGTAATCTATTTACCCATGAAAGGAGAAAACTTCACCTGAAAAGAAAATGTCATACAGAGAGTGGGAAATTTATTCAGAATTTGTGGCTCTCAGCACTATGCAATATCTAAATCTCTTGCTCCTCTAAATCAAGTAATCTGTCAAGCTCTTACAGAAAATAAAGCTTCAGTTACTGCCAAAATTAGACATAGTTAATTATTAAAAATGACAACCAACATCTTCAAGTGTCATCCATTATTTAAGAAGGTTTGCAATCAAGGAGTACTTTGATTCTAATAGAAACCTTCTTTGATGTTTGCACATTGCTTCACAGGAAAAGAAACCAACATAACAGTCACAGTTACATTTCCCCTCAGAAAGTAATTCTGTGGATAAAAGGCCCAATATCCAGCGCCTACCCATGGGTAATGGGTGAAATGGAGCAGATGCGCCTTGAGTGCCTACTGCTCTCCCAGCAGTCCCTCTGCTGTCTGCTCACTGCCTTTCTGCTTCCTCTCCCCTCCTTTTCCTCTCAACTGTAATTTTGTAACTTCTCTGGTTCTTGATTTAAACTTTAATTACCAAAGTAATTAGAAATGCATAGAGCTTTACATTTCTATCAATTGTTTACATTATTTGATCCTACAACATAAAACAAGTGCTATATAACACTTTAAGACATTAACAGACTTGTGCAAAGTCATTGCATTTGAGATCACTTCCTTCTGATTGCAAATCCTTCACTACCTACACACAGAATAGCTGAAGAACATGTCTAGTGTTAAATGAGACAGTAAAGGTCTGCAAAGCCTGTATTGACAAACTCTTCCCCAGTCACCTTCTGATGCCTCCAGCTCTGTGAGCCATAGGTCTTCACTGAGATGAACATAGAGCTAATACATTTTCTACTAAGATCTAATTATTTGGTAGGAAACATATATATCCCTACAGGTTAGTATCTTAATTCCTCTTATTGGTTTCAAATTCCTTGATTATCTTTATATTTGCAAGCTAACAATTTTAAAGTCTTTGCTAATTTTAATCGAGTTGTAGTACCTGTATTGTACAGCACCTGTGTTGGGTCAATAATTACCAAATTCACTGTGCTCCATGACCAACATCTGAAACAATTACACATTCTCTCATTAAGGATAGTACCACATCTGGAACACATTTAGAGGCCTTGATTTTACACTATCTTTCAAAGTCTGAATTCACTGTTTCTATTCTAATCAGAGTTGAGTCTCTTCTTTTTTGAGCACATTGTGCTCAGAATATTTCCTGAATCAAAACTGGCCAGTCAAGTGGGAAGCATAGAGCCTAGAGCCAAATTGCCCAGGTATGAATACTGACTTTCTAAAAGAATAGCTCTGTCACCTTGAGAAAATTATTTAAACCACACTATCCTTAGTTTCCTCATGCATCACATGTGGCTATTTAATATTATCTGCATATCTTAATTAGGATTATGTGATCATTAAAAGTTAATGTATGTCGGCCAGGTGTGGTGGCTCATGCCTGTAATCCCAGCACTTTGGGAGGCCGAGGTGGGTGGATCACAAGATCAGGAGATTGAGACCATCCTGGCTAACACGGTGAAACCCCATCTCTACTAAAAATACAAAAAATTAGCCGGGCATGGTGGCGGGCGCCTGTAGTCCCAGCTACTCGGGAAGCTGAGGCAGGAGAATGGCGTGAACCCAGGAGGCGGAGCTTGCAGTGAGCCTAGATCATGCCACTGCGCTCCAGCCTGGGCAACAGAGCGAGACTCTGTCTCAAAAAAAAAAAAAAAAGTTAATGTACGTCTAAATCCATTTGGCTGCTGTAACAAAATACTAGAAACTGGGGGGTCTGATAAACAACAGAAATGTATTTCTCACAGTTCTGGAGGCTGGAAAGTGTAAGATAAAAGTACCAGAAAATTTGGAGTCTATTGAAGCCCTCTTCTTCCTGTTTCTTACATGGCACCTTTTTGCTGCATCTTCACATGGTAAAATGGATGAACAGATTGGCCGGGCGCGGTGGCTCACGCCTGTAATCCCAGCACTTTGGGAGGCCGAGGCGGGCGGATCACGAGGTCAGGAGATCGAGACCATCCCGGCTAAAACGGTGAAACCCCGTCTCTACTAAAAATACAAAAAATTAGCCGGGCGTAGTGGCGGGCGCCTGTAGTCCCAGCTACTTGGGAGGCTGAGGCAGGAGAATGGCGTGAACCCGGGAGGCGGAGCTTGCAGTGAGCCGAGATCCCGCCACTGCACTCCAGCCTGGGCGACAGAGCGAGACTCCGTCTCAAAAAAAAAAAAAAAAAAAAAAAAAAAATGGATGAACAGAAACTCCGTTGCGCCTCTTTTATAAAGGCTTTAATCCCATTTTGAGAGCTTCCTCCTTTATGACCTAATCACTTCCCAAATGGCCCCAGCTCCTTGGAGGTTAGGATTT
This sequence comes from Homo sapiens, assembly GCF_000001405.40. Classification (NCBI taxonomy): domain Eukaryota; kingdom Metazoa; phylum Chordata; class Mammalia; order Primates; family Hominidae; genus Homo; species Homo sapiens. Next base: position 124,177,653 of record NC_000006.12, on the reverse strand, counting down.
CAACATATAGATTTTGGGGAAAAAAAAACTTTCAACCATAACAATGTACGTAAAACACAATCATATCTGCTATGCAGAGATTTCTAAATAGGGATTAATTTTTTTGTATTTCCTATTTTCCCAGGATAAGTGTAATAATGTTATGGACTGGTAATAGACTGATGCCATAACTATGTTTTAATGAGGGGTTCTGAAAGTCAATACCTGGGCCACAAAAAAGGATTCCAGTGGTAGTCATTTACAGAAATGTCACAGGATTATACCAGAAGTTTAAAAGAAATCATGCTAAGAAGCTGCCACCCTCCAAAGTCACAATTCTCCATGTCATACTCAAGTATCTGTTTTCCCCTTATAAAGTAATATCTAAACTGTGCATGTGAAATAAAATTTCTAATTGTTTGGACTACTTGTATCGAATGCTTTTTTGTTTTCTCCAAGTATCAAAAATTGTTTATTTTTACAATAAATGTGACTCCTAATTTAAAACTGGTAATTGATATAAAATACTTTTGCATTTTGGATTTCAAGGGTTTGTCAAATTTTCAAAAAATATTTGGTAGATTAACCTAATATTACTCATTTTTTATTATACCCACATAGGACTTTTAAAGTAGGACACGTAGTCTGAAAGAATAAAATGAAAGATAAAAAATTTTATGCCACAGAATTTTAAAACTATATGGAAAGGCATTTTTAAAAAAGTCATACTAGGAAAGACTTTTGCAAGACATAAGATGGGTAAAAGTTAATAGTCAATATAAAAACTTGCATATTAAAAGACAAACATGAAAATAAAAATAGGAAAATGTATGAGATGTTAACAAAAGAATACACACAAGAAACATAAAAGATATTCAACCTCACTAATAATAAAATAGATTCCAGTTAAATTAGTAATGCAATATCATTTTTATTCTATCATATCTAGCAGCACAGACATATAATTTTGTTGTTAAATTACATATTAACATGGCAGGAATCTGTATGTTTATCCTTGCCTTCTATAAATCTACTATTTATTTTTAATAAATCTAGAATAAGGAAGAAAAAATGCTTCAGTTAACAACACTGTTTATAAACATTACATGTTTATCCCCTAAGATTAGGATCATAATGGATGTCTATTTTCACCACTGTCATTCAACATCGTACTGGAAGTTTTAGCCAAAGCAATTGGGCAAGAGAAAGCAATTTGGAAAGGCAAAATAAAACAATCTCTTTTATTAGAAGACATGATCTTGTATATAGAAAATCCCAAAGAATTCAAAATATAACCAGTAGAGCTAGTTATTAGAGACTAGCTAGTCCTGGAACCAAACTATGGGCATACTTTTTTAAATCATACTTCACAGATAATGCATTTTTTTACAAATCGAAGGTCTGTAGTAACCATGAGTTGAGAAAGCTTATCAGAGCCATTTTCCAACAGCATGTGCTCACTTTGTGTCTCTGTCAGCATCTTTTTTACAATAAAGTATTTTAAAGTATGCACTTTTTTAGACATAATGCTATTGCATAATTAATAGACTACAGTATAGTATAACCCTTATATGTACTGGAAAACCAAAAGATTTGTGTGACTCACTTCATTGCAATATTCCCTTTATTGTGATAGTCTGGAGCCTAAACTACAATATCTCTGAGGTAAGTCTGCATAAACTAGAAAATTTCTCATGAGAGGCAGCATGGAACAGTAGTGTCAGTACTTAAAAAAATGTAAAAAGCAGATTACAATAACATAAATCTACACATGTGATGAAATAAAGAGTGAGAAAGAGAGAAATAAAGGGCAAGAGAGAGATGTACATTCACAAACTTTGGAGAGAACAGTTTTGGTGGAGCAACAAGTTTATTTAGCAAATCGTAGATTGGAAAATAATGTTGAAAACCCAGTGAGGCTACATTTAAAAAAAATCTGAATTGATAAACTAAAGACTTTGGGGTTCATCCTGTAAACAGAAGGGGAAGAGTAAAAGGTTGGGATATGGGAAAAATTATATTAGTAACTTCCCATTGTATAAAAATAATGATATAAAAACAATAGATGTATCTACTAAGTGGGTAGTCATTGAAATTTGTAAACCAATCAGACTTTAACATGTAAGTGATTTTCATTTTCCCATTAGGTACAGGCAGAGGCAGTGTAGACATTATGTGAAACTCACATCATATATTTTAAGCCCTTGTTTTAACTTTTAAATGTTTAGGAAGTTTGACTATTTAAATTTACGCCAAGTGAAGCAGGCAAATCTTTTCTGAAATATTATCCTAACTATCTTAATATTGACTTCAGCTATTTGACTTTCCTGGCCTGAAGCATAATATTGTTCTTTTTTTCCCTACAAATAGTAATGCCTTCATACAGATGTGCAGCCTAGTATGCAGTCTGTGTGAGTGTAGATCTGTCACTCAGGGTGAACTGCAAGTTTCTACAAGCACTTCACGCTGTCTATGCAATGAGAGCCACATGATTCCTGCTTCTTAACAGAAGTAAAGTGCAAAGAAAATCAATAGTATTAATAACATTCAGCACCCACCTTTTGATAACCCAAGTTACAATGGTGCTTAAAAACACACTTTCTATTTATTATTACAACTGAAAATGGCCTTATTTTAATAAGGTAGATACAGGTATTCACAAAGTAAAAGGAGAATCATTCTGTGAATTAAAATTTTTATTAAAGTCCTCAGATAATTTCAAATTTACATATACATTTTACTAAAGTGGTGACATTTAAGTGGTCAAAAAGGAGCTAGAGGGACAATCTTTCAGAGATATATAAGTCAACTGCAAAGACCTTTTCAAAGGGACTGACCAATGTGTCACTAAACTATTTTTTCCTTCCTCCTGGACACCAAGGTTGCCTACATTTCCCTGCTTTTCTTTCATTAGTTGGTTTGGTCATATGACTACATTCTGGCCAATGAAATATGAGTAGAAGTGGTGCCTTCTTTTAGGCCTGACCCTTAATAATCTCTTGATGCAATCCTGCCCTCACTCTCTTTGACCATTCCCTAGTTGAAAGAATAGTTGAATGAATAGGAGTGCTAGGAATTAGAAAAGGGTGGAGTTGGACAGGGTAAGGAGGCTGAATCCCAGAACAACTCTGTAGAACAGAGTACTACCCCTGTATCTATTTAACAAGAAATAAGCTTTTATTGTGCTAAATTACTAAAATTATGAGTTTTTCTTCATTGTACTTAGGCTGCCCTAACTAATTTCTGCAAGGTAGAGATTGTGACCTTTTTATCTTTGTTTTCCTTAAATCCAGAAGTGTGCCTTTTATTTAAGGAGACACTTGAGGAAGTTTGGTTTAGAATGATTAACAGGTAAAGTTGAAAGGTGCTTTTAGTGTGAAGTTTGAATGAACAACTTCTGAATTTTCTTCCAAATTCAGGATTCTGTGGCATTCCATGAATTTTGAATTCTAACTACTGCTGTTTGGTGGGAGTTCTCTTAAGTAAGTTTCATTTTATTATGGAGTGTATGTACCACCTCGCTCATATCAAATATTCCTTTAAATTCTATAAACCTCACAATTTCCCTCTGTTTAATACAGAATATTGACTGCAATGATATCAGATTTTAAAAATAAGAAATGAATACTTCAACATAATATCCCTTCTTGCCTCAAAATGGCCAGATAAACAAAATCCCTATTGCATGCTATACATGAATGTAAACAGTATCCTTCGGCATGAAAATTTTAATCCTTTATTTTCCAAAATAATAGCTATCACCCTAGAAATCAATGATTAAAATTATCAATTATCAAAACTTTACTCTGAAGAGAAGTTTGAAGAAATAAGGAATAAGAACCATCCACTAAGTATCAATCTAATATTGCTTGCTCTACTCTATTGCACAAACCTGAAAAAACTTTCAAAAATGATGATTATATAACAAAGAAGAGGGATATTCAAATTATTTCAATTTCTCCTTACTTTCAAGAGAAAACAAGATAAAATAATATTTGATATAGGTATCATAAAGTCAGTATCAAATTTAGTTTTTAAGTATAATTTTAGAAATAATTTGATTTGGAGCAGCTTTAGCAAGATATAATACCACCATCCCTTTTTCACTCTACAGTTTCTTCAAAGGGCCTATTAATATTATGCAAAGAATCAGCTTTGCATTTTTTATGCACTTTCTTGTTGCTTCTTTAAGGCTCAATCTTTGAGGAAATTTAGTCTTTGTGAAAGGGAAGTTTTTGAGGTAGGAATAGGTATCTCACTTCATTACTGAAATTAGAATATAAGCTTAAAGCTGTTAGAGACTGGAAGACAGAAACATTTCCAGTAAAACTCCCAATCACGTACTAAAAGTAATATATGCTAAAATGAATGTGTAGAACAGGTTGGTGTTATGAAATGTTAAGAATCAACCGAATCATTTTGAATTCATATGTAAAAACTAGTCATGGTGCTTTTATAAGAGCAAGAGAGATTCTCATTTTATCATTATTCTTAATACAATTGTATATGCATTTTATATCATGCAATTAGACAATTTGAAATATTTCATTATTCAGGAGTAGATTACCATCAATTTAAACTGAGAGAGTTTTAGAGGAGACTTCAGATAATCCCCAATCATATTCTACTTCAGTTGTAAAATCAGCTATGATTTGAATTAATGCAATTGTCACTAAATTGCTTAAATGGAAAGCTTTGAGTGTATATGAGGCAATTCCAAAGGCATGTGTAGAAGAAGAAATCTTGCTCATGTGGTACAGGATAAGGAATCAAAGATACAGCCAAACTCTATATGTGAACTATTCCCACACTACATATTAAATGATAGAAACTGATTTCTGAATATTAATGTAAAGATGTTTATAAGTTGCTTGAGCTCCAGCAGATGAGTGCAACAGAATGCTGTAGCCATTTCAGATATGAAATATCTCAAAGTAAAAACCTGGACTGAATTTAAGGTGAATTTAATGTAGTAAAACAAAAAGAAGTAATGATTCCATAAGTTTATACAGATTCTAACAGGCTTTGGAACTTTTTTACTTCCTTCCACAAGAATATATACTTTTTTACTTCCTTCCACAAGAATATATACTTCCTTCCACAAGAATGATATACAGATTTTTAAAATCTGATATCATTGCAGTCAATATTCTGTATTAAACAGAGGGAAATTTTGAGGTTTATAGAATTTAAAGGAATATTTGATATGAGCAAGATGGTACATACACTCCATAATAAAATGAAACTTACGTAGGAGAACTCCCACCAAACAGCAGTAGTTAGAATTAGAATTCAAAATTCATGGAATATATTGCAACCAGGACATTCTACTTACTCTATCCCAGTGTTCTATTCAATTCTATTTCATTCCATTCCACTTCACCTGAGAAAATACTGGTTTTGATATAACAAATTTACTTCAAAAGCCAGTCATGTATTCCATGAAAGAGTTTTTTAAAAACATGCAAATTATTCAAAGAAGAATTAAAAAGTTAAAATATTCAAATCTGTTTCCAAAAATGCAAAAAACTTGTTCAACTTCACTATCATTAAAAAAATTGGGGGCTGGGCACAGTGGCTCACGCCTGTAATCCCAGCACTTTGGGAGGCCGAGGCGGACGGATCACGAGGTCACCAGATGGAGATCACCCTGGCTAACACGGTGAAACCCCGTCTCTACTAAAAATACAAAAAATTAGCTGGGCGTGGCAGCATGTGCCTGTAGTACCAGTTGCTTGGGAGGCTGAGGCAAGTGAGTGGAGATCATGCCATTGTACTCCATCCTGGGCGACAGAGCGAGACTCTCTCTCAAAAAAAAAAAAGAGTCGGCCGCGGTGGCTCACGCCTGTAATCCTAGCACTTTGGGAGGCCAAGGCAGGCGGATTGCCTGAGCTCAGGAGTTCGAGACCAGCCTGGGCAACACGGTGAAACCCCATCTCTACTAAAATACAAAAAAATTAGCCGGGCGTGGCAGCATGTGCCTGTAGTCCCAGTTACTTGGGAGGCTGAGGCAGGAGAATTGCTTGAACCGGGAGGCAGACGTTGCAGTGAGCCGAGATGGTACCACTGCACTCCAGCCTGGGCAACAGAGCAAGACTCTGTCTCAAAAAAAAAAAAAAAAAAAAAATCAAATCGGCCCTCTCTTACGAAAACTTAACATTGTTTTATGATTAGTAATATCACAAAATCTTGGTTTTCTAATTGCTTTAAGAATCTATCATAGGAGGAAAAATTATTCCAGAATGGATCCGAATAAACTGCAGAAATGAATTTTCTAACTTATATCTTTTATTCTTATGTCAAATCTTGCTGTTTCACTTCAAATTACCATGGTCAAAATGAAGAGATGAAAATCTCTAGGTCCTAAAATTTTAAAATTAGAAAGATATGCTAGAGAGCAGAACACGGGAAAATTTTGTCTTTCTGCCAACAGAATTTAGCTCCCAAAACAAAACAAAACAAAAAAAGTTCCTTAAGAATATGGCTGCAAAAAAGCATAATACCTAATGACAAGGATGAGGGTATAGAAACTGTGATAAAATTTACATTTAGTGGAAAAGTGAGAGTTGAGTGTTAGTCTTCACTTTATTTGTTTTAACCTCTTTCCCACACATCTCAAATGAAATTTTCTAAAAAAAAACCTTCACAATTATGAAAATTTGTTTTTTAAAGATAGTGACAAAAATTCTAAAGAAATCACGGTAAATTTTCTTTAAGGAGCATTTTACCAGAGTGAAAAGGTAAGCTTTGAATTGGGGAAAAAACTTATAAAGAACTAATGAGTCAAATGTGATAAATTTTGTCAGAAAATTATCAGTTTACCGAAAGAGACCACAGATATGACTGGATTATCTAGTCAGTTTAGCTAAATATAAACACCCTAGGTATCACCTGAATGTTTATTAGGAACATCCACGGAACTAAAACACATATTACTATCTTTGCTATTTATACTTTCGTATTCTAAATGCATATATTGGACATAAAAAGTGGCTTCATTGAGGCCAAATTCACTGTATTTATAGAAAATATCAAAGGATTTTGTGGAATCCAAGAAGCCACTATCTCTTTATTTAAGAAAAAATCAGTTACTATATGGGGAAGAAATGATACAGAGAAATGTTCTCTAATGAGTTACAGCACACTTTCATTGTCCAACTCTAGCCATTACATTTAATGATTTTGTCTTGACATTCTTTTGCCATACATCAGAGATACTTCTCCCTGCATACTTTCTATTTAGCAGAGAGAAATTCAGGTTAGGGTAAATAGAAAAAAATATCTATGGAAATGGCATAGTGTTCCCTTATATTCATTCAACAAATATCTCTGGAATACGTACAATATGCCAAGTTCACTGTTCAGTACACTGTTCCCAGTGTAGTAGAAAAATAAACAAGGGAACACTTAAATAACACCAAGCAATGTTGTGAAGGAACAATAAAGCAGTGGAAAAAGAGAGAGTGCAAAGAGGAGTACAAAATATTAGACAATAATGCAGGGAAAGGTGATATTTGAGCTGAGATCTGCATGAAATAAGGAAGCATCCCTGGTGAGGATTTACAGGAATAGAGATTCAGCAAGAAGAAAAGAAGGCTGAACTCAGAAAATGGTTTGCATCCCCATTCTTCTAGGAAGTCCTTCCTCACTTCAGCCCCTAAATGATGTGGCTACTGTTGGGAAGGAAACACTCTTAATAAAAACCCCAAAGTTCCCTAACTAAATCTATTTAATTACAGTACTTAGGCCTCGGCCCAAGCTGACCATTTTAAGGCTGAGCATTTGACCCAAAATGGACCAAAGAGGCTCTTTCTCTGCGATTTCTGAATAAGTGAGTCTGGGGTGAAAGTCCGTTCCACCCCAATGGTGAGGATGCAGAATGTAAAACCAGGAAGCAAACAGAGGTAAGATTTTCCACCTAAGAAGATTTCCATCCTAAGTGCATGGAGATAAGATTTTCCATTCAAAGTGCATGGAGAAAAAAAACATACGCACTAAGAATCAGCATGGCTCAGAAAGGAAAGGAGCAAGGCAGGCCAATGAGAGGGTCTCAGTAGAATTTAAGCCTGGTTGCTTGGTGAGGTGCTTAATTATTTCCTTAAGTTAACTTCTGTAAGTCAGTGAACTTATCTTTTTGCCTAAATTAATTTAATTTGAGAAACTATATTTAGGAACTAAGAGATATTAAAATATGTGCCATGGATTGTAAAATGTAGCAATTCTAGATCAGCCATCAATGTGAAACTGTAGCAAATCCCACTGCTTGGCATTTTTAATACTTAATGAGCAATAATCTTTATCTACTTTGATTGCAAAAAGATAAACTTGTGAAAAGAGCAGAATTAGCCTCTTTCAATATCCAAATTTTATCAAATGCAAATTTCTCAGAATGTAAAGAATATTATTTAGATCTAAGAGAAATAAATTTTTGAGACTATGTATATTTATTATCAGCAAGATAATACTAGAAAAAAACACAGAAATTTATCATTAAGTAATGTTATATATCTTTGGGTGCACAGTGCTATACTGGATAATAAACATCAAAATTTAAATGTACATATATGTGTCTGTGCACATATACACACACATCCAATTCTGAACATTCAATATTAAAGCACATATTGAACATGAGAAATACTGATGTCAAAAGTATACAAGAAGAGCATTTTACTTGTTTTGTGAATTTTTTAACTAGCTTTACTAAAATATACGCAAATATTTGACAAAGAACCATGGGCCTCCAAATATTCCGATTGTTAAAATGAAAATATGCCAATAATTCTGTTTGACACTGTAACCTGTAAATAGTGCAAAAGAATAGTACTCTGAAGTATCATTCACCTTACATCATTTTGGAAGTTAAACTTTGCCTCAACCAAAGGAATTGTTCTTAATATACTTAATAAAATTTACAAGAGGCTGTTACTATCATTAAGATGACTGATTCTCCTTTCAAGATAATATGTTGGTATTAGAGCTAATTTCACAATACCTAAATATTTATTAAGTGTGAACTGGCCAACACACAGGCAATGGTTCTAAAATTCATATTACTCAAAGAATGTTTTATGTTAGATATGTCATTCTTAGTGTGTAGACCACACACACACACACACACAAAATTAACAGGCTTTAACTTTTGTTATATTAATATTTAGCATTTTTCACAAAAGAAAAAATTATAACCCATGGATAACTGTCATTTTAATATTTCAATATTCCATGTATAGACAAGAATGTCTCTTTCAAATTCAGTGTATGTACAAGAGTATCCATACTACAATATCATATAATTCTGAACCATCATTAAATTCTGTTGTAGCTAAAATTCCCAGAAACACCAAATCATTTTTGGAAACTTAAAGTATGATCATTCTGATGGTATCTTTACTGGTCAGATGCATTTCAGGTGATTAGTCCTTCAGTTAACTTGTCAAATTTTACAGACTTATGGCCAGCATATATAGCAATACTAATACAAACTGACAATGATGTAATATGAACTTGTGCACTATTATAAAAAAATTAAATGTCCAATTTGCAAAGAGATGATAAACCAGGACAGATACTAATTTGATTTTGCTTCAAACTCTTCACCTATGATTCAAATGTAATGACAAATAATGTGGCATTGAGGCAGAATAAATGCTTGGTTTTTTATGTGGGTACCACATGGGTTTTGGATTCTCAAAAGAGAAGGAAATGGTTAGAAATATATCTCTATGGTCACATGTACTTTGATAAACATTACATTGCAAAGTTTCAGGAGCTCAATTCAAGAGGCTACCTAAGTACATAAAAATCACTGAATCTATAATGCATCACTGAAGTCAATATACACAAATCAATAAATGTAATCCAGCATACAAACAGAACCAAAGACAAAAACCACATGATTATCTCAATAGATGCAGAAAAGGCCTTTGACAAAATTCAACAACCCTTCATGCTAAAAACTCTCAATAAATTAGGTACTGATGGGACATATCTCAAAATAATAAGAGCTATCTATGACAAAACCACAGCCAATATCATACTGAATGGGCAAAAACTGGAAGCATTCCCTTTGAAAACTGGCACAAGACAGGGATGCCCTCTCTCGCCACTCCTATTCAACATAGTGTTGGAAGTTCTGGCCAGGGCATTCAGGCAGGAGAAGGAAATAAAGGGTATTCAATTAGGAAAAGAGGAAGTCAAATTGTCCCTGTTTGCAGATGACATCATTGTATATCTAAAAAACCCCATTGTCTCAGCCCAAAATCTCCTTAAGCTGATAAGCAACTTCAGCAATGTCTCAGGATACAAAATCAATGTACAAAAATCACAAGCATTCTTATACACCAATAACAGACAAACAGAGAGCCAAATCATGAGTGAACTCCCATTCACAATTGCTTCAAAGAGAATAAAATACCTAGGAATCCAACTTACAAGGGACATGAAGGACCTCTTCAAGGAGAACTACAAACCACTGCTCAAGGAAATAAAAGAGGATACAAACAAATGGAAGAACATTCCATGCTCATGGGTAGGAAGAATCAATATCGTGAAAATGGCCATACTGCCCAAGGTAATTTATAGATTCAATGCCATCCCCATCAAGCTACCAATGACTTTCTTCACAGAATTGGAAAAAACTACTTTAAAGTTCATATGGAACCAAAAAAGAGCCCGCATCCCCAAGTCAATCCTAAGCCAAAAGAACAAAGCTGGAGGCATCACGCTACCTGACTTCAAACTATACTACAAGGCTACAGTAACCAAAACAGCATGGTACTGGTACCAAAACAGAGATATAGATCAATGGAACAGAACAGAGCCCTCAGAAATAACGCCGCATATCTACAACTATCTGATCTTTGACAAACCTGACAAAAACAAGCAATGGGGAAAGGATTCCCTATTTAATAAATGGTGCTGGGAAAACTGGCTAGCCATATGGAGAAAGCTGAAACTGGATCCCTTCCTTACACCTTATACAAAAATTAATTCAAGATGGATTAAAGACTTAAACCTTAGACCTAAAACCATAAAAACCCTAGAAGAAAACCTAGGCATTACCATTCAGGACATAGGCATGGGCAAGGACTTCATGTCTAAAACACCAAAAGCAATGGCAACAAAAGACAAAATTGACAAATGGGATCTAATGAAACTAAAGAGCTTCTGCACAGCAAAAGAAACTACCATCAGAGTGAACAGGCAACCTACAAAATTGGAGAAAATTTTTGCAACCTACTCATCTGACAAAGGGCTAATATCTAGAATCTACAATGAACTCCAACCAATTTACAAGAAAAAAACAAACAACCCCATCAACAAGTGGGCGAAGGAAATGAACAGACACTTCTCAAAAGAAGACATTTATGCAGCCAAAAAACACATGAAAAAATGCTCACCATCACTGGCCATCAGAGAAATGCAAATCAAAACCACAATGAGATACCATCTCACACCAGTTAGAATGGCGATCATTAAAAAGTCAGGAAACAACAGGTGCTGGAGAGGATGTGGAGAAATAGGAACACTTTTACACTGTTGGTGGGACTGTCAACTAGTTCAACCATTGTGGAAGTCAGTGTGGCGATTCCTCAGGGATCTAGAACTAGAAATACCATTTGACCCAGCCATCCCATTACTGGGTATATACCCAAAGGACTATAAATCATGCTGCTATAAAGACACATGCACACGTATGTTTATTGCGGCACTATTCACAATAGCAAAGACTTGGAACCAACCCAAATGTCCAACAATGATAGACTGGATTAAGAAAATGTGGCACATATACACCATGGAATACTATGCAGCCATAAAAAATGATGAGTTCATGTCCTTTGTAGGGACATGGATGAAATTGGAAATCATCATTCTCAGTAAACTATCGCAAGGACAAAAAACCAAACACCACATGTTCTCACTCATAGGTGGGAATTGAACAATGAGAACACATGGACACAGGGAGGGGAACATCACACTCTGGGGACTGTGGTGGGGTAGGGGGAGGGGGGAGGGATAGCATTAGGAGATATACCTAATGCTAAATGACGAGTTAATGGGTGCAGCACACCAGCATGGCACATGTATATATATGTAATTAACCTGCACATTGTGCACATGTACCCTAAAACTTAAAGTATAATAATAATAAAATAAAATAAAAAAATACATAAACTGATTGTTAGAGTTGGAGGACATATTTTACTAACACATCATTTTCAAACAAACTGGTATATTGGGAAAATATAGCAAAAAAGGAAATTGAATAAAATGTAGAATTACATTCATTCATATTTTCTCACTAGTAGAAGTTTTAATTCAGGGCTGACCATTCCTGCCTATTAGCAACATTTTATTAAGCCCATAATTAGTGATTCCAATTTTTCCTCAAGGGACAGTGCACTTCTAATTTGGGAAAACTATTATTAAAGAAAGCTTCTTAATATATTTCAAGGCATATTCACATATTTCAAAATGTTTAAAATTTTTATAGTCACAATAAATGCTTTTCACCAATACCAAAAATATAAGAGCCACAGACACAGATTACCACTAAAGTATTCTTTAGCACTTAAGAAATTTTGGGCCTTAAAGAAGTAATAAAGTAATCTTCATTTTACAAGATATTAGTTATAATTAATAAGAAATATTTCTAAAACCCTACAAGATTGTCTAGAAAAAGAACCTCTGACCATGAAAGTCATTTAAATGAACAATCAAGTTATGGCTCTAAACCTAATATTCTGTCACAAATGTACCATGATTTGTTCTAACCCCTACTTGTACCAATGTAAGCATATTGTGAAGCACATAAGATGCACATTGTTACTTTAAAATAAGAAACAAATTAACAAAGAATACTCTCAATTTTCTGGTTTTGTGGCGATCCACTTGCCTTATAATTTTTCACAGCACTCCATGAATATTTTTTGTAATACGACCGCCAGTTTAATAGTTAAGCCCACACTACTTAAAACATACTTATGGTCTACCCGAGTAGCAATTTGAAAAAAATAATGCACATAAATTGAAAGAAAAAAAGATTTACTCTTACGTAATCAACATTACTAATAACATGTGTCTATTGGATGTTGTGCAACTTCTTAAAACTTGGAATCGAATTAGACACCACCACCTATATATCCTATTCCACGCTGATTTCCCCATGGTACTTGCTTTTTACCACAGGAAGCACTGAAAACTCTGCTTCTCAACGATGTGATATCATCAAAAGAAACTATTGTGTTCTAATGTTAAATCTGTGAACTACTTGGAGGAAGTACTCTGTGTGATGTTTAACAGATGTTGAGTATCACTATTTTCCTTAAAATTTAAAATAATCCATGGTGCCTATTTGAGTTAATATGGTTTCCTGGGGCGCTTTAATACACAGTTTGGGAAACGTGGGTATATGCTGTTTTACTCTAGGCTCTCTATTTTCCGTGGCAAAAAATGAAAGTATATTAAGAGTTTATTTGAAAAGTTCATTTGAAGTACTTAAATAAATGTACCAAAATATTTGCTAAAATCTTGTTTACAATTCTAACTTTTGAGTTTTCACAAAACTTATTTAGTTTATAAGACTTCTTCATATACCTTACTTTGTAAATATTGATGGAAATTTTTTTTAAAAAGCAAACCAAATATGGACTATCCATTGGTGACTGAGCAGTCAAGGAAATAAGACTAAGGACTCAGTTCACTTCAAATGACTTCAGGGTTGTCTATAACAGCCTGCTCTCTATTCGTCTTTCTGCAAGTTTCAGTTCGTATTATCTTAATCCATCGTTTGTATCAATGGAGACTAACTGTTCTTTTCCATATTAAATCTTTCCTATAACTGAAGATCATTTTTACCTCTTTCCAAACTAAATGATCACAGCTGTCTTTAATCTTCCCTCACAGTTTCCACTTTTCATTCCTTTAATTATCTCTGTTTCTGTTCTTTGGATTTCTTTCAATATCACCAAATTTTTTCAATGCAATAAATCCTCAAAGAGAAAACACTAGATAAAATACTCCAATTATAGAACACAGCTCTATGCGATTAAGTAAGAATGCGGACATCAGAGACTTTTGCAAGCCAATGAAATGTCTTACCATTTTACATAGGTTCTAAATCTGAAAAATTCTAATGATGGGATACTTTGCTGTTTAGAAACATCATTTGAGGAAATTTTTAGAGAACTCAAGACTAGGAGGAAAGTTGTGGAAAATGCCTGCATTTCCACATCTATAATAAAAATATTGTATAGGAAACAAAAAAATATCAATGAGACATTCTTGTTGGCCTTTTGCAAAATTGGCCTTAATGGTTTCATTCCATTTCTTATGGGCATCTTTTAGATTCACAAACACACACACACAAAGTAGGACTGTTCCTTATAATTCAAGCATGTTTACCAGCAACTTTTAGTTTGTTTTTTAACTACAGTATATTTATTTCCTCAGATGAAAAAAAAATCACCTGTCTGTTTTTCCTTTATATTTAGAAGCTGAATTTCTAACTTACTCTAATTCACATAGATTAATACATACTGAATATCAACTATGTGATACTGAAACATTACCTAGTGTTCCAATATTCACAGTATGAAGATGAAAAAATCATAATTTGATGTATAAATATGATAAACTTTTCTGGAAGCAATTGTGTAATAAGGGTAGAATCAGAAAATAAGAACATTATAAACTAAATAATATACAACTTCCACACAGAATCGGATAGTAAAATTTATTTACACTAAATTAAGAACATTCCTGTTTAAAAAGTAAATCCACATGCATTAGAACTTTGCCTAAGAAGACTTCATGTATGGGAAAGGATGAACACATTATCTGTTTACACATAAGAAACATAAAGGTATCACAGCAGTAATACCTTTAAATGCTATTCCAAAGGGTGTAAGTTAGCAGGTCACAGGCAATGTCTGGCTCTCACACTGTCTGGCTACCACTTTGATGGCTTCTTTCACTAGGACTCCTTCTCTCTTTTATGTGACCTGTCTTATGGCAGTTTGAGTTTGTGATCAACATTCACCACCGATTCTCCTTTTGAAATGAAGTCTACCATTCCAAATTCCATAAACATTCTGGAACTATAAAGCCTCAGCAGTTGTGCAGAAATTATTTACAGCTGTCATCCAGCATAATTTCTGATCCATTCTCTGCTATACACATGCATAGTTCATCCCCTCTATGCTGTACCATATCTGTGCCAATTTTTCTAATCAGTAGGGTAAAAAATACCAACAAAACTCCATTTATATTTAATACCATCTCATTCAATGATTGTCTGTTAACTGTCACAAAAATAGAAAGATCTAGGGAAAACTGGATGAAAAGTGGATAATAACTTGAGTAGAAGAAGTCTTCCATCATACCAGTCTAATAGTCCTTATTCCTATGGAGCGCATACTATGTGTGTTGGTACTTAGGTGTATGTCATGTCAACTGATTCTTACATAATCCTGCAGGTATACACTCATATCTCTCTTTCACCACCAAGGGCACTGATGCTTAAGAACTACCTGACCTGCCTGAAATCAAATGAGTGATACAACTAGATTTAACATCAGGTCTCTCTGACTTTCCCCAGAAATAAAAGAAAACTTAGAAATAATTTATTTTCTAAAGCTATTCGAACAAACTTACAATCCCTGTTAAACTTCAAATAATCTTATTTTATTTTTCATTATTTTATTTTATTTATTTTTTAGAATTTCAACTGTTATTTCAGATTCAGGGGTACATGGAGGTTTGTTACATGAGTATATGGTGTGATGCTGAGGTTTGGGGTATGAATGATCCCGTCACCCAGGTAGTGAGCATAGTACTCAACAGTTTTTCAATCCTTTCCGCCTCCCTCCTTCCCCTCTCCAGTAGTCCTCAATGTATATTGTTGCCATCTTTATGTCTACAAGTACTCAATGTTTAGCTCCCACTTATAAGTGAGAACATGTGGTATCAAAT